>NC_000010.11:50143095-50294610 GCF_000001405.40 Homo sapiens | reverse complement strand
TGGCAGTAGAAGAAGCATAAACAGGCAACTAAGGAGCACACTCTTTGGCCACAGTTGGCAGCCATATAAACAGAGTAGGCTTTCCTCAGGGCATTTTTAAATGCATGGTGGCCCTGCTACTGGGGGTGGTGGGGTTGCTGCCTATGGCTCATACTTTGGCCCTGGCAGTGCCAGACAGCAGCAGCTCCCTGCTGTGTGTGTGGGATGTCAGTGGGGCTCCAGGGATGTGAAGATGCAGGAGATGTTGGGCTCCAGGGCATTCTGGTGGAGACTGCGCTCTCAAAATAGTGCTTTGCTATAGCTGCTTAGTACTGGGGGTGGGCATGGGACCTGGTGTGAGCTTCCTTTCTGGAGCAATTCCTTCAAGAAATCTCTAGGTAGCTCCCTATGTTAGTCTCAGGGCCTGTGTGGGTTGAAGGACTCTCCTGTGGCAAGAATTGCAGGAGTCTGTGGTGGGAATGTGAACTGCTGAGAGTCACTCACTTTCTCTTTCACCGCAATTGGGAGATTCTTCAGTCCCCCAGCTGAGCATGCTGCCTCACTTCCTTCTCCTCCTTTGCCTTATATGTTTCCTGTCACTTCTCTGTTGAATTCCAGTGTTCTCTCATAGGTGACCAAAGTATGATTACATACTCACTATTTTGGTTCTTGTTTGTGGGGGAGGCAAGTACCAGCTGCCTCTGGTCAGCCATCTTAAAACCATGTCATGAATCTGTCTTTTAGTGGGTCTGTTTCTCCAGGCTTGACCTTCATGAGTGTGGTAGTAAACCCACTCCTCTTATCCTCTATTCTACATAAATTCCATGACTGCAGAATTCTTTGTCTGCTTCCTTGAAGCCTTGATGCCTGCTGACGGTTTTTTCTCCCTGAGTCAGATGGGAAGACTAGAAAGGGCTAAAGTACAAGGAGCAACCTCCAGTAATTTGTCATTTACCATGTAGGTGTTCTTATTAGTTTATGGCTCTAGCGGCTTCCGCTCCGTGTAAGCAGATCTTGCCCATGACTCTGAATGCAACTCTCTCTCCAGATTTTGGAACAGTGGTTGTACCTATGACTTCATTTCCATGATGGGTCCAAAAAAACTTGTTTTGCAGTTTGCTCAGCTTCTTCCTATTGTAAGGATGACAGTGATAACTCCCAAGCTCTTTAAATGTTGAAGCTGAAAACAGAAGACCTTGATGACACAGTTTGCATGGTCAAATAAGTTTGGGAAACAATAAGCAGTTATTGGCAGAGTATCCTTAATGACTAGGTATACAAATTTATGTCCTAACAACAGTTGAACTATAAGTCGTTATCAGTCTGCTTTAATGACTTCCAACTCTCAACACAAAAGATGTCCAGAAGAACATGAAAAAAATTAGCATTGAAGTGGAAAATGGAGGTGCTTCATTCAGTTATCTTCTAATTAACATTGCATTGGGAACTTTGAGGCCATTCTCTAGGTTTCTTAGCTGTAAGACTTGTCGGAGTCATTAATGTGCTAATGTGCATTGTGACTCCTGGAGAGGACCCAGGATGCAGCTGTATGCAAGTCCAAGTGTCTAATGGACAACTATTAATTTACACAAGACGGTTTCAGCTATACTGCTCTATGAAAATGCATGTTCTTGAAATAACTTTATCAGGGAAAAAATAGTACCTCTCAAAGGAGCAAGTTGAAAATGAAACCCCAATATACCTTATAACAATGATGGGTGCCATGAATATATGCTGAAGTGTAGTAACATATGTCAAAAACAGCAAGTTCCATCCTCTGAGGTAACTTCCTTTGTGGTGGGGTTCTTAGCTCTGCAAACAGCCAGATATTTGGGAGTGCCTATGGCAATGTTATTTTTATTTTTACTGCAGAGTACATCAGAGTGTTTTGTGGGCACTTGAATCTCTGGGTGTCAGTTTTGATCTTTCCTTCTGAATTGTAAAAAGGCAGAAATGGATCTGCCTTTTTAATTGGCATGGAGTACCTCTGGTACAGAATCAAAATATTAGTCATCACGCTGAGGTGCTGCATTTTTATCCGACACTCAGTTGTTACTCTTATAACCCATATGGAATCTTATGAAGGATAGCTTCCAGTCACTTCCTCCAAGATATTCTATACCACCACCATCACCACACCAACAGTCCCAATCAGGCCAGAACATCAAGTGTGGCTCTTTTAATAGTCATTGAATAATAATCCATCTTTTAAGTGAATCAAACCAACAAAATCTCATTGAAGAGGGTCCATATGTTTACTACATACTATATTACATCACATAGGCAGAGATTTTTCTTAGCCTTCATAGGAAGTAGAACTGGATTTTCTTCTCTGCAACTGATTCTGTCTCATGAACATTAAATTTTATACTGATTGTGTTGTGTTTTTTTGCTTTGGTGTTTGGGAAACTGAGTCTAATTTATTGTCCATTCTTAACAACTGTACTGAATTTTAGTGTATGTATTTGTGATCTTGGTATTATCTTTTTTTTATATATTTTTCTCTTTTGCCCCAATTTCTTTCTATTAGTCTTTGTTTAATAAAACACTTTTGTGGAAATAAGTTGAGGTCAACTCTATACTGATGTATAATTCATTTCTCAGAAGCTGTCAAGCATTTTGATGGATCGGTATTCACTCTCACTAGGCCTCTGTGGATTGTCCCTGCGTGAATGATAAGGGTCTCCATTGTGATGATGGATTGGAACATGGCACTACTTCTTGGCTCTGTGATACCCCAATTACACCAGGCTTTTCATGGAAGGTTAATTTATAGTGAGAGTAGAACATTATTTTGTGGTTTGTGGGTTTTCTTTCAAGGTGATAAATTTAAAATCTGGTTAGGGGCTTATGAAAAAAAAAATCTTTGACATCACATGATGGAGCCCTAAGTATTGGCCAGCTCCAAGCATGACACTTTACCAGTAGCCTTTAGCATCCCCCTGTGGCTAACTTTGTAGAGCACTTGTAAATATACCTCTTCATTGGTTTTTGATGGCTATGGATGGTTCTGCTCTTTTTCTTTTGGAGGGTGGAGTGGTTGTAATCTTTGATTTTTGCTTTCCTAATCCTTGTATTAGTTGGCCTCACAGGCCCTTGGGATTTCACAAATTATCTTCAGTTGCATTCTTGGGTAATAAAGGAATAAAAATGGGCTGACAATAAGGAATGTCCAAGATTGAGGCTGACCATAGAACCCTGGGAATTTCAAGGCTAGTCTTTCATGCATTCACTTATACATTAATCATCCCCTCGTCTCTTCACCTCCCTCCATTCATTCAGCAAATGTTTTTGTGTTAGCATTGGGAGCTGGTGTCAAACAAAGTAGACAAGGGTGCCTGCCTTCATAAAAACTTATAGTCTGGGCTATTTTCAAAGGATAGTAAAGGAAATCTCAATCAATGAGTACTCTACCAAATTAGATTATTTGGACTTTAAGAAAAGAAACTATGAGAAATATAAATAGATAGATGAAATTATTTCCTCCTTAAAAACAGTTTCTCTCAGAAATGCCATTGGCTTGCTCTTGAACTTTGACGCCTTGTACATGTTTATGTATATGTCTTTAGCATTGGATGAAGAGCATTAATATTGAGACATTGGAATCTCTTCTAGTCATCAAGGAAATAATTAAAAGCTTCCCTTTGCTCTGTTTCCAAAAGTGTAAAATAGGTATTTTAGAAAGACTTTTCTGTTTAAAGAAGGCTTGCTGAATAAGCCCTATTTAAATTAGAAATTTCAATTACTCAGAATGTCTCATTAACCCAAGTTTTTAATTGAGAATTTATGAAATGGCCTGAAAGAAACTTCCAGATTAAGCCCAGTTGAAGAGGGAGAAGTTAGGAGTCTAATGAGTTAGTGGTTCAATGTGTCTAGTTTCACTATGAGATTTTTCTGCTTCAATATCGTTTCCTTGCAGTGCCTAGCACAGTGCTCAAGGCCTGTTCTTAAAGTTGTTGAGTGACTTTTCCTAGGAAAGTCTCGAGAAGTAGAATTCCTACTTCTACTCCAGACTGCAGAAAAGCCTTCTCCAAAAAGACGTGTTAATGGCCTGGAAGTTGCATTCTGCATTTGTCTGATGTCTATTAAAACTCAGCCTTAGACAGAAGCATAAACATAAGAATTTCCACCCTGAAATCTGTGGCCTGGCAATCTCATAATCTAAAACATGGGCCTCAAGGAAGGCATGGAGGTGATCCCTGACATAAACCTAAAGCTCAGCTTCCCTTCACTATCATTTTTCTACATAAATTAGTTCACTTTTCCAATCTTTTAGTTTCCTTCCTGCTAGAACTCCCCCTTGGAGTTCCATTTTCTCTTGATAGGTAAATCAGTAACCCAGGTGTGCGGGGTAATTCTGACTAGGATGGGCAAAGACTATCCAAAATGCCATCTCAGTAGTCTGATGGAAAATTCCTTTTTGGGCAACTTCATGATTATCAAGACTTCTAGTACATTGGGAAATTTTAGACAAAGAGAAAATGAGGTTGTCAGAGATTTATCTCCAGCAGTCCTCGACTCCAGGTATAGGTGGCCCTCATGATTAGAAATAAGCCTGTAGCAAGAAAAATAGTTTATTTGACAAAATCCCAGTGTTAAAGCAAGGCCCAAACTGCAGAGCTACTCCTGAATACTCTCTCTCTCTTTCTCTTGACTATTCTACTTGTCTGAGAGCAGCGTGGATACATCCCAAACTAGGGCCTGATAAAGAATCATTATGGACATTGGTTAGTAACAAATATGATTTCTTAGAAGGAGCCTCAGAACATCAGGAGAAAATGTCAGGTGCCTACAGTCTAGAATGCTTGGCCTGTGTTATGGTGCATAATTCTTTGTCAAGTTATGGTGTACAGTATTCTCTATTTAGTCAATTGTTTTTCTCTCATTCTTTTTGATGAGCCTTTTTTTTGGCTTGGATGACCCAAGATAGGTTCTAAAATAATTTGGGTTACCCAAAGCATTTTTCAGTGTGAGTATGAAATAGCAGTGGTTGTTATTCCTGTAGACAATCCTAGTTTGCATTATTTCTAGCAAGAACTTCAACCAGGATAGTGCATGCATCTTTATTTCACACCTAGAGCTTCGTCCAACTCTTTTCTCATGGGCTTGAGTCAAGATGCGGTAGTGCTTGGAGAGGTATAGTCACTTCCAAATACAAATGGTCCCCGACTTAACAATAGTTTGACGTACAACTTTTCAACTTTACAATGACGTGAAAGTGATATGAGTTCAACAGAAACCACACTTCAAGTACCCATACAACCATTCTCTTTTTCACTTTCAGTACAGTAGTCAATTACATGAGCTGTTCAACACTTTATTATAAAATAGGCTTTGGGTTAGATTATTTTGTCCAACTTCAGGCTAAGGTAAGTGTTCTGAGCACGTTTAAGGTAGGTTAGGTTAACCTATGTTTAGGAGGTTAGGTACATTAAATGCATTTTCAACTTGCAATATTTTCAACTTACTATGAGTTTATCAGGACATAATCCCATCACAATCTGACGGACATCTGTATAAACTCAGAGTAGTTTCTGAAAGGGCACATATCATTCAGAATAGTTTCTGAAAGGGCACATATCATATCATTAATAGAGTTATCTAATCTCCTAGAGGCCTCCTGATCCTAGAAGCTGCTCTAGTTTACACCAACACAACTAGAAACCCTTAAAATCAGTGTTACCATTTATCATTGTGCTGTTTGGGAATGAAATGTACTCTGCAGACCACAGTGGATTGTGCAGGTACCCACTTGTCTGGGGGATCCAGAAAGCCTTTGGGGAGTGAATAAGAGGGGCAATAACAAGTTCAAAGAAAATACTTCTGCTTGGGAAATGAGCTAGGCACCTTCTTCCCGTTTAACTTGTGTTTGAGGCACTGAATAAAGGTTTGATAGTGAATATACATACTCTACCATGTTATGAAGAATGAGAGTAGTTACCCTGGGGAAAAAAGAAACTACAGAAGGAGATAGAGGAAGTATGGTGTATCCAAGAGGGCATGGACTGGGAACTCAGTTGTGTGTTCAGATCCCAACTCTACTGTTTACAGGCATTATGCCCTGCAGAAAATGACTAACTTACAGGCATTGTGCCCTACAGAAAATGACTATTTTCTTTTCAGAGCCTTAGTTTTCTTCTTGACAAATTAGGGACAATGTTATCTATCTTGTAGATAGATAGAAATCTATCTTGTAGCATAATGTGGGGCAGTCATGGCCTGTGAGTACAGACTAAATGCTCCGTAAATGACCACTGTTTTTATAGAGAGAAAAATGGGGAAGAGAGAAATGAAAAGGAGGCCCCTGTGGAGCCAAGAAAGAAGTCCCAGCTAATGGAAAGATGGGCCCCAGATACAGCAAGGCCAACTTGGTGGGAAACCGGGGCAAGCCCAGACTCAACCTTTATTTGAACTTCTGTCCAAACATATTTACGTCTTATAACCTTTGGTAACATAATTGCTCTAGCATTCTGCAAGCCTGATGTGCATGGACAGTGGTTGCTGGAGTATTGATGGACTCTGAAATAGCATGGCATGGGATCTTGGAGGGTGAGTACCCATACAGGGTAGCAATGAAGCAGAAACACATGTGGCCACCATGATTTATTGGCACCTAAAGGCTGCTTCCCTTGCCAGCTCTGTGTCATCACATGAAGGAACTGGTGGAGTTTGAATTGCTTTCTTCTAGTAGTATTTAGTACCATGAGGAGAAGTTTCAGTCAAAGCACACTGCCTCTTATGCATTTTCTTTTTAATGAAGAGCCTGTGTCCATGAAAAGGTACATATCTGGCTTCCCTCTGGGGATGTGTAGAAATGCTTCTCGTTATTTAAGGATGTTTTTGGGGGAAAAAACCTAAAATTAAGAAACAAAAATCATTTTTGGAACAGGCATGATTTGGCTGTTAAAGTGTTTGTTTTGAAGGCTTCTCTAAAATCACTGGCTCTGAGTTTGGCCGAAGTCCTGTCATTGTCAGGCCTATGGGAAGTGTGTTCATTACCCGCCTTATTGGCCAAGGGAGGCTTTTGACCTCTGGCTGGCGTTTGGCTGTGACAGGCTCCCCTAGCAGAGGGTAACAGGTGAGGGTATGGCACCAACTTCCTTTTCACAGCAGGCAACATTACAGCTGCTTCCATGAGCCTCATGGGCTCCATACCAGAGGCCAGGAGATGAATTTGTAGGCATTTGCTAGCTCATTTCTCCATAGGCTCTAGGGATGAACATGTACAGCAAACAGCTTGAAAAGGAATTGTGTCCAACTAGTGCTGCTGGCACATGTCCCCTTTGGAAATGTCTCTGTGCAGGATCTGGGTGCACATTCCTGTGCTCATGAGCTGACACCAGAGGGATTGTTCGACATGGCTTGCTCTTCCTTCCCGTGCAGCTTACGGTGGACACTCTGAACCCCTATGGGCAAGTGGCTGCCTAACAAGGTTTCCCCTGGGGCTCCTGGTTTCTGAGCATAGAGGCATGCAACTGCAGGAGGGCAGAGGAACTGAAGATAGGGAAATAGCCAGAAGGTCTTGTCCCACAATCTCTGTACCGATTGCATCGAACACACAGTAAAATTTGTTGAGGATAGAAAGAAAGGGAGAAAACGATTCTTCCTCCAGGAGAGAAAAATGTCAATGTATTCAGCACACATAACCCCCACACACTATTTAACATTCGCTAAATGTGAATTCAAACAAAAAGTCCCCCAAATTAGATGGGAAGCTATCTGAAATGTCACTTTAACACACTGCAAGTATGGAGAACTGGGGCAATTTGGCTTCCTGCAGATCTGGGCTATCAACACTGGCTTAAATTCTCAAGATGTTCAGGGCTGAATCATCAATTAAAATCAGTAACAACAATGAATTTACCCAGGCCTTAGGAAATCTATTTTCTTGCTGGAAATGAAGGGGGCCCAAATCCAAGCCTTTCTCGTTTGACAAAAATGATGAGGCATTGATGGCAATCTTCCCACTGCTAAAAAGAGGTCAGAGCAGGAAAGGCAGCCAAATTCAATAGCAAAGCCTGCTGGTTTCTGTTCTGCTTTGGAGCAGAATTTCACAATGATAATCCATCTAACTACACCTCGTTTCTCCCAGTATTTTACTCTACTTACTTTACCACATATCAAACTCTCTATCTCTTTATCCATCTATCAATTAATCGTATTTTTTTGGATGCATTTCGAAGTAAATTGAAGATACATGTGCATTTCTCCCTAAATCCTTTGCCATGCATATAATAAACTGAAATTCAAAATTTGATCATGGTCTATTTTTCTTTTGACATAGAATTTATAGATAATGAAATGCACAAATTTTAAGTGTATAGTTGCTGTTTTGACAAATGCATGTGCCTAAGTAACTTAAACACTTCTCAAGATATGGAGAAAGTTCCCTATACCTCTTCTCACTCAATCCTGGCCAGCCCTCTTCTCCTCCACTCCCTTAGGTAAATATTCACTGTATTTACACTAGTTTTCTACCATAGATTTTTTTCCACCATGTATTTATATATGTGTGTCTGTGTGTGTATATGTGTGTGTGGAGGGGAGGGTGGGCAGATTTCTTTACATGCTGCATAATATTTTTTAGATTCATTGATGCTGTATTTTAGTAATTCATTCTTTTTTTATTAGGGACCAGTATTCCACTGCATGAATGTACCACAGTTTGTTTATCTACTCTTCAGTAGATTGATATCTGGACTGTTTATAAGTTTTGAATATTATGAATTAAGCAGCTTAGATTTTTGTATATGTTTTGTGTGTATCTGTGCATGAGTGTGCTCACACATATATGTGTGTGTATGTATATACATTTTCATTTTTCATGCGTAAATACCCAGGTGAGGGATTGAAAGGGCACAGGGTAAATGTACATTCAATTTTATAAGCAGTTACCAGACCTGCTTCTAAAAATTTTTCTTGCTCTTGAAAAGATACCTACTGATGAAAATCCACTTCCTCTGGGCAATGTTGTGTCTAGATGTAATACATAGAACTTTTGTAGCTCTGGAGAAAGGCTAACACATGGAAAGGACCTGGATCCTTAATGATATCATTGGGTGCTGAAATAACCAACTCTGGGGCTGTTCTCCTTGGAATTTCTGTTTCTTGAGTTAACAATTTTCCTTATTTTTTAAGCCAGTTTAAATCAGAGATCCTTTTCCTTCTTAATTTTATAGAGTAAAATTGTTTTTATAAATTTTACTGAAGTATTACATATATACAGAAAAGCACATAGATATTAATTTTCACAGACTGAGTATACCTGAGTAGCTGGCCTCCAGGTGAAGAAATACAATGTTGCCCGCACCAGGGTGGCCTTGAGGAAGTGGGACTATAGCTCACATGTCACAAAAATTAGAAATGAGAAAAAAAAATTAGAAGCTTGGACGGGTTCACTAGTGAATTCTACCAAGTATTTAAGGAGGAAATGAACCCAATTTTCTACAAAATGTGTTCTACAAAATGAAGTTAGACCTCCCTCACTCTTACTCAAATATTCTTTCTCTCCCCTGGCTTCTCTCTGTCCTCCAAACCTGTCGTGTAGCCACGCTGTCAATACAGGTCTGCACACTTCATTCAGCAAGGGAAAAGCCCTATACTTAGCTAAAATAGTAATCTCTGAATTTTCCTCAAGTTTTCCTGGATTCAGGGTGAGGAAAGTTGGGAAGGAGGGACCACTATGATAAAGTAACCCTGCAAAGTGCTTATTGTCTCCACTGAAGCTGTTGGAAAACTAAGGGGTCAGAGAATAAGTTGTGTCACTTAGGCTGGCCAAATGACTTTGGACACTCAGCTATTTGAACCTCAGATATTATTTTATTTGTAAAATGAGTAGAATAATAGTAGTTACTTTATAGGGTTGTCTTTCGCGATTGAGTGCAAAAGGGCTTAAATGTATTATGGGGGCAGTAGGTAGCAAGGACCGTGTTCTGGTTCATGGGATACTTTCTTTCTGGTTTCCACTCTAAGCAGGAGGTGATTCTTCCTACCAACCACAGTCATCTGAAAGATTGAAAGACTAAAAGACTGAAAATCACTGGCAGCACAGGGGCAGACCCAAATGGAACCACTTGCTAAAGTTTGAAGACAGAGCTGCCTGCAGCCTTTAGAGCTGTCTAAGGAGAGAGGGGTTAAGGCAGCAACTGGCCTTGTTCGGCATTTATTGGAGGAAAGCAAATTCTTGTCTATAAATCAATCAAATCACTAAGAACTCCAATTAGAGCAAACTTTGAGCAATCATATATAAACATGGAGTGAGAATAATCTACACACGCTATTTTTGGCTTTTGGTATAGGACACACTGCCCCCGAGAAGTCCTCATGTGAAAAAAAAATGGTGGTGATGGGGTGTCATAGACAGCGATTGGTCAACTGAAGACGAATAAGAATTTGTAGTGGATCAGAAAGGATTCAGTGGCAGAGACTGATCTTTACAGATACTTGAATTAATTGGATATTAAATTGTATTTCAGTATTTCCCAAAATTTATCTATTAGTGTACAACTAACATGATTTTTCCCCATAACTATTTACCACTTGTACTATTACTTAACTAATGTTTTTCTTTAAATGACTTCATTAAAAATTGCTTTAGCCCTACTCTATATATTGTATATTTCTAATTCACAATGAAATCAATATGTAATAATTAAAAAATGTGTACTCTGTACTACCTAAAAACCTATCACCTTTTGGGAAATACCTTTGTCTATTATGGTCTTTACAGATATTAGATTATTGTCAACCAATTGTAGTAAGTCATTTTTATAAGGTCTTGAGTTAAAAATCCCATTTTGCAGATACCCAAGGCTTGATTCTCTTTGTCCAAACTTACTTCTGTCACACTCTTCTCCATGTTAGAAAATGTCAATGCCCTTCTGTCAGTACTAGAATCCAAAAAGCCTTGGAATTATTCTTGATCCCTATTTCTCTCTTATATTTTAAAACCAACAGGAAATCTTTCAAAATGTATTCATGGTGTGACACTTCACATCATCTCCACTTCTAGCCCTCTAGTCTAAGTCTCTTGCTTAGATATTGCAAATGCCCCCAGATTAGACTTATTGCTTCTAACCTTGACCCTCTGCACTGTGTGATCTGCACAGAATCTAGGTGACATATAACAGAATACGTTTCCTAAAGCCAGATCATTCTACTGTCCTGCTTGAAAATCTCTAATGACTTCCCATCTCATTGGGAGCAAATCTAGTCCTCACATTGTTCTCTAAGGTCTTTACAGACTTTCAACCCCTGCACCTCTACGTTGCAAGTTTTGACCCCATACGCTACTGCTGCTTCATTTTTTCCTCTGCTCAAATCACCCTAGCCATTTTCTGTTCCTTCAGTCCATCAGTCTTCTCTGGGGACATTTACACTTGCCACTCCTTTTTCCTGGAATGCTTTTTCCCCAGGCAGAACCAAGCCTTAACACTCTCTTCCCAATTCCTTCAGGTGTCTATTGAGATATCACCTTATAAGGGGGACCTCTCTGGTTATGCTACATAAAACAACTTTTCTACCTATTGTCTTGCTTTCATCTTCTTAGCACTTATAACATACCAGATTATACTTAGTTTTAGTTTTTGTTTATCCAGTTAGAATGGAAGCACCATGAAAAGGACATTGTTTTGTTCATTACTCTTATCACTGTGGCCTAAAAAAAGTGCCTGGCAAATAGTAGGCACTTAGTAAATACATGAATAAATACCAGATTGGATAAATGCTACCTGCCCATCACAATCAAGATTCTGTTTCCTGGAAAGAGAAAAGACAGCTAGTGAGCACTACCTTCTTCCAGCCTCTGCCCTCCATCTTACAGTTACAGATATGCCTCATGTTATATGAATACCGTTCTTGTTTCTCAACAAATGTTTATCAAAGGCCTATTATATAAGGCGCTAAAAACAGATATGGTGAAATAAAAGGAGCATGACTCCAGGTGGAATAGGACAACACCTTATATTAAGAAAAATCATTCAAGACCAGAATTTAAAGGATGGGAAAACTCAGAAAGTGGTCAGAAAATGCTTCTGCAAAACATGAACCCTTGTCTTGGGTCCTAAAGGAGGGGTGTTCTAGCTACCTCTTACTACAAAAAAACTCCCTCAAACACAGTGGCTTAAAACAATAATACTTTTATTATAGCTCATGGCTTTGTAGGTCAGGAACCTGAGCAGAGCTCAGCTGAGTGACACTTTTGTTCGATGTAGCATTGATGAGTTCACTCCAAGGTATTCAGCTGGTGGATGGACCAGTTTGGAAAGGTCCACTGCTGCTTCATTCACATATCTGGTACCTTGGTGAGGATAGCTGGAAGGATGAGCATAGCCGGAACAGTGACCAAAGCTATGTGGTCTCTCCAGTGTGGGAGCTTCAGAATTTCTAGAGTTCTTAAGTGGTGAAGAGTTCTAATAGTAAATTTTCCAGGACACGGAGGAAGCTGCAAGGCCATATGTGACCCAGCCTCAAGAGTCACATGACATCACTTTCACATTCTGTATTGACAGTCACAAACCTGTTCAGATTGAAGTGGAAAGGACACAGAGCCCCACCTCTTGATAGATGGAGGGTCAAAGGGTTAGCAGCCGTGTTTTTCAGACTGCCTCAGCATCAAGATAAGATTCAGTTAAGAGGAGGGTTGTTGGCAAAGTGTTTAGGGGGAGAATAAAAGTTAGAGCAGAGACAGGAAAGTACGGATACATTCAAGAACCATAAAGATTGGGAGGCTGAGGCAGGAGGATGACTTGAGTCCAAGAGTTCGAGGTTACAGTGGGTTCTGATTGTGCCACTGAACTACAGTCGGGGTGAGACAGCAGAGGAGAAAAAAAGAAAACAAGAACCATAAAGAGACTTGTGTGTCTGGAATGAGAGAATGACCAGGAGAGGTGTCAGAGTCAAATATGAAGTGAAAGGTTTGGTTGGGTTAGGGTGAATATGAATACCTGGTGATATCTTTTGGATGTTTGTCCCCTCCAAATCTCATGTTGAAATTTGATCCCCATTGTTGGAGGTGAGGCCTGTGGGAGGTGACTGAGTCAAGGGGCGGATTCCTCATGAATCGCTTGGTGCCCTCCATGGTAATGAGTGAGTTTTCGCTCCATTTACATGGGTGTTTAAAAGGACATGACATCCTTTTCCTCTCTCTCTGTCTCTTGCTCCCTCTCTTACCATGTGACACATTAGCTCTGCTTCCCCTTCTGCCGTGACTGGAAGCTTCCTGAGGCCTCATCAAAAGCAGATCCTAGTGCCCTGCTTCCTGTAAAGCCTGCAGGACCTTGAACTAAATGAACCTCTTTTCTTTGTAAATTACCCAGCCTCAGATATTCCTTTATAGCAATGGAAAACGGACTAAGACACCTAGTTAAGGATTCTAGTCTTTATATACAAGTGGTCTCCAAACTGTTTTGCTTACATGGCCCTAAAATAATTTTGAAAAGCACATTTTTAGATTGGCATTCATTTCCCCCCATAAGTTAAAAGTAATTGCAAAGGTCAGCAGCTCTCCTCCATGTGGTTATTCATTTTGATGGAGGCTTTTCATTTTCTTTCTCCCATATCTCCAAGGTCATGGTGGATCTCTCCCTCCAAGTCTGTGCCTGGAACCTAGAGGATCACACATGGGGAAGATTTCATAGACCAAGAATGGAATTAGTGCATTTCAATTTTCCTCACTTTCCATTGTCCAGATCTCAGTTATATGGCTATCCTGATGGCAGGGCAGGCTGGGAAGGAGAAGGAAAAACAGATTTTGTTGAAGAGGTAACAGTCCTTGCTACAGAATGTAAGTAAAGCAGCCAATTTGTTGGCATACAGTAAGCATTCAACGTTGTGTCTGCTGTTATAGTTATCACTGTGATTATTATTACTATTATTACACATCAGTTTACAAGTTGTGTTCTGTGCACAGGTGGATTTTCGCTTCCTTTTCTGTAGCCTCTTGACCTTTAGATAAAGGAGCCCCAGAGCCTTGGAGCCCAATTAGTAGCTAATGAAGCTCAGCTGGCAACACTGCAGCTCCAGTCAGTGGGAAGAAGCGAGAGCCTCTGCAGTAACTCTCTCACTCCAAAGCCCACAGGACTGCAAGTCTACTTCATGCTTGCCGTCAGCAATTCCTGTTTTGTTTTTTTTTTTTAACCAAACACTTGTACCACTCCTGTCTGCCTTGCACTCAACTTCTACTTCCATGCAAGTCCCATGGTGGACTCTGTCATAGCCTAAAGAAAACTATATATTTGCCTCTTGCATATTGGCATGGGTAGAATGAAGCAAACTTCAAAGATCTAATCAAACATTAAAAACTTCTGCTTTCTTTTCCCTACCTTTGATACCTGCTAATCTGAGCCCAAAGGGTTAGAAGAATGAACTTTTCCCCTGGGAACCCTACCAACTTCCAGGTAGATTAAAATGAAGGCAATACTGCAGAATGTTGATTTTTGGTTTTGCTTGGAAAGGACAACAGGAAAATGTAAACATGGTCTCGTTTGCTTCCTAAAAGTACCAAGGTGATTACCTGCAATCAGTTTCCTCCATATATTTGTAATTCCTCTAGAAAAATGGGGGCATCTTCTCTCCCAGAGCTTAACTCATTCATCCAAAGTGGTCTTAACTTACATCTCTGTGCTGATTTGTCCCGTAAAGTCTCCTCTCAGTGGTATGTAGTTGATAGGGTAGAGAAAGAATTAAATATTTATTTTCCAAACCAAATAGGACAAGCAGGTCAGTATGAAAAAATGAATGACCATCTCCTAGGTTACGTTTGTTCAGGGTGCAAAATGAAGAACTCTAGGTGTGACCTTCCAAGGATGGTGCAGGGGTTTGTCCATCAGCAGGCTCAGCAGAGGTGTGTCCTGCCCTGCGCATGAGTCAGCACATAAGTAGTTAAGCTGGCGAGGCTTGGGCTTCCCTGGTTAGAGTGTCCAGCCTCCCAGAGTTAACCTGCAGCACTGCTCAGAAGAGCAGGGGCAGAGGATACCAAAGCGTCCCAGCACTCTGGCTTGCAGGGGAATGACATGCGGTTTTGAACAAGCAGCTGCTGCAGCAGGTCTGGGTATGTAGCTTTGCTTTGATTGAAAGTGTTTTGTTTTCTCCTGAGAGAACAAAGCAATTGTGGTTGATGTTTGCAAACAAGATCCCTTGGACACTGAGAAGGAACAGATGTTTATTAACCTGCTGTTTATCATGAAAATAAGTAGTTGGGAGCAGGGGAGTGGAAGGGTAGTTTCCTCATATTCACTTATGTTTCTGATTGCAATGGCAGATTTTCTTTAATTCTATCTGGATTCCAGTGCTGTGTGGTCAGGTCATTTGAATGTCATGGTTACAGTCTAATTCAAATGATATCTTTTTGCTGTTCTTTCTGTGAATCTTCATATTTACATTCAGAGATATGGATTTCATTTGAAGAGTTATTTACTGAATTGGTGAAGCTAAGTGGCATAAATCCATCTTCCTAGGCCATTTTGGAAGGCAAGAATCAAATCCTTAGACTTAGAGAACAAACTTCTCCAAATTTACCATATGCCTGAATGAGAGAAACTTCATCTTGAATATGGTCATTTTCTTTCTTACAACCTGACAAATTCGGCCTCAGGTGTATGCAGTGTGCCCTGAAATAACCTTCAGATTCCCAGTTCTTTTAATGAGTCTCCGAGATTGACTCACTGGCCTTTCCCATCACTTTGAATGTCTTTTTCTTTTCTATGAATTTAAAAATATCTAAGACTCAGAGTAGACTAGAACTACCCAAAAAGACTTGGATTTGATAAAATTTCCAAGGATACAGGGACTTAAGTAAAGTTTGCCTGGATCTCATTCTATCTCAATCCTAGCACTGCAGTATCAGCCACCAACTGACTATAGGACACTGGGGACTTTTTCCCAGTTATAGGAAATAGCATCCCTTGCAGATTGAAAATATGGAATATTGCTTGTCAGGCTTAGATCCTACCTAACAAGTGACTGCTTCCCAGAACAGCATTCAAGATGGTCTTCAACTGTCTTGGAATCATCTAGAATATTTTCTCCCCAGCCCCCACAGCTTCTCTTATATTATCCTGAATTTCCAACCAATGGGAGGCTCCTTTGGTAAACAAGTTTCTTTTGAAAGATGCAAACAGTACCTTAAAACTTGGGCAGGCTATTAGTCATTAATACTTTTGTACAAATCGGTTTAATGCCTCTTTAAAATTGCTGTCCCTGAGCATTGCCAAGAGGAAGGAAAGGTAGCAAGAACCAGGAATTTGGAGGCTGGGCTCTGAAAGCTGGGGGCTGGCAACCAAAAAAAAAAAAAAAAAAAAAAAACTTGGGCAGGTGCCTCAGTGGTGGTCAATGAAGCCAGATTGAGGATACTACCGAGTCCTGGAAAGAGGGGAACTGGGGCATGAGAGCAGGATCTGGAAAACATTGTGTATAGTGGTGGAGGTGAAGGTGACTGAAGACTTTCAGGAGCCCCTGGGAATAGTCAATATTGGAGGGAATCAGTGTCCAGGTCCTCAACTTCCATTTGAACTCTTTTCCAAACTTTTTTTTTTTTTTTTTTTTTTTTTTGCCCAGGAATTCATCTGAGTTTTCCTGCTTCAGAAAATAAAGATGAACTTCTCACACACTTGGAATCTCACTGTGGGACACTCCCAAGGAGTATAGGGATCTCCTGGTGTCACACAAATGGATGATTTCAGTACACATTGATTCAGAGGAAGGGTTCAGTAAGAGCAAAGCAAAAAGAAACAGATCGTATCTCATTTTGTCCTGGTTTCAAACTCATGCCAAAGGCTCTGTGCCTTGTCTCTGACTGTCTTAGAACTATAGTTGAGGAGTGAGAAGGTTATCATGGGGACAGGGTATATGTATGAATGCCTTTATTGGAAGTAAAAATTGCAGGCTTTTTTTTTTTTTAAGCAACAATTCTGATTGCACTGCCTGATTTGATGATGAAGTTGGTTTGGCTAATTAGCATCTGTGGTGGATATTTTCTGTAAATTTAATACGTTGATTCTGCTGTTCAAAGTATTAGCCAAACTACATTTAAAATATGTGTACGGTATACAGAAAATTAGATAATATGTCTTGCAACTAAGTTCTATTTAAGCCTATAAGAGTTTTAGATGTCATTTCCAAAAAATGTGCAAGGGAGTAGATGATATTAAAAAATTCTTTTAGGGGTTTCATAAGTGAAACCTCGTAAAAGCCACTGATGTGCATTATCCTTGAGGTGAGATGACCCTTGTCTTATAGCAAGTGCTTCTGCCCTCAGATGGCCATCAAGTCTACTCCTGGTTTTGTGCCTCCTGCATCCTGCTACTTTTCCCTACAACTTGAAGCTCCTGTAGTATCCTTGTTCAGCCTCTACACCACTTCATATGTCAACCAGCTGGTTAATTTATTTGATGTATTTAGTAGTTGTCTAATTATGTGAAGATAGGATCTCCTGGAACTGTTTTCAATGTTGTTTTTGTTATTACCCACAATTCCTGATTGCTCTTTCAATGTACAATACCAGAGCAGATATCCTAAGGCAAGGGTTAAAGAAGAGGAAGGTTTATTCACAAATATATTCATTAGGCATTTTTTTGAGAATCTATCACATGTCAGGGTGATGTGATCTCTGCAGTTGGAGTCAAGAGATGTGAATTCAAATCCTATATCTGCAACTTGTTAGCTCTTTGAACTTTCTTGGGGTTCAGTTGATCCATTTGTAGAATCGGGATCCTGGATGCCAACCTCTGCATAGGTGTTGGGGACAGAGAGGAATAGGATGGAACTCTAACTCCAAATCATCTAATGGAGACACACACACTCATTACATATTGAGTACCAAAACAGGAGAGTGTACAAAGCTTAAGAGGAAGAAATGGATTATGCAATTAACTTTGCCTGCGGGATCATCATTCCAATAAATAACATCTTTTGAGCACTCTGTAGTTCACACAGCACTACTACACACTCTTTCTCTGTGTTGCCTCCACAGTCCCGTGAAGTAGATTCTTGGTAGGAGGATGAGGAAGGCAAGCCCCATTCCTATCACTGCTGACAAAGGAAAAGAGCTGCGATGTGAGGTGATACCTGGAAATCTTGCCTCATTGGTTAAAGCAGCCAGGAGCAGACTCTGAAGTTCTTCCAGATTGGCACCTTTCCAGAGCCTCTCTGCAGTGACACTTTGCCAGTCTCTTAATGTCCTCCTCAGAGAAAGAAGCACCTGCTTCTCTGCTAAGAGGCAAGGTCAAGTCAACGTAGATGAGAAAAGTGGAGGATACATCTCATTTCCAGTGCAAATACATCATGGAGAGGGAGGAAAGGAACCAAGCTAATCTGAACTGTCCCTTGTGGCAGGCACTAGGAGTTTTGCTAGCATCAGAGTGAAATGGGTACCCATGAAAAAATGGAAATAGAAGCCTTGAGATGGCCAGTTACTCCTCTCCAGGATCAAGACTCCAAAACAGGAATCACCCCATATCACTAGATTTGAGTGTCAGGGATCATCTGAGCGAGAAGGGAACTCTGACACCCCAGAGCTCCCTGTAGCAAGGGACTATGTGACTCAAAGCCAATTTAATTCTAAGTTTTGCTGCTCAACTGTCTTCCCATTCAGTATGAGGGAATTTGTCCCAAATTCCTTCAGAAAAGTGGAGTCCAATAACGGTTGTACCTATGATTCAGTGAGGCTTCTCTACACATCTTACTGAGAAAAGCTTCAGCCACAATAAGACATTTGAAGAGAAGGTGGTCAGGGCTCAGTCATCACCAGATTATGGCAGCCACGGAAGCCACCAGAGGGCAGTGCAGATAATGCCATTGGTGACTGGGAAGGAGAATTTATTGTCCACTCAGGAGTGTGACATGAGCTTTTTGGGACTCTGCCAGGAAAGAGACCCCTGAAAGTCTCAGAGAATCTCCTGGAACTGTTTTCAATATTGTTTTTATTGTTACCCACATTTCCTGATTGCTCTTTTAGACTGGCCTGGTCTGGGAAAAGCAGCTGACATAAGGAAAAGCCTCAAAACCTATTCATGATACAAAACAAAGCAGTCTGCACTGGGTGGGTATGGTTTTGACACCACCTGGAGAATCCAGTCTCAATTCCTGCTCCCCATTGCTTTTCCAGCTCCGAGGGCGGCATTGTCATCTGAAAGTTGACTTGAGAAACGCCTCATTGGTGGCCTAAGAGGTGGCTTGTACAGGGACAATGGTGTGTTGGGGACAGCTCATATTGGCTCGTCAGAACCAATTGTGTGCAGACCTTCCCAGCTTCACTTTCAGCAATGTCATTTGATTGTTTGAAAGTAATTATGGTAGGAGTATTCACACCATAGAGGAGGGTGAATGTTACACATTAGAGCTTTTATTCCTGAAGAGCCAGGTGTTAACATTTGGCATCTCACCACCGCCAATATTTTTGCAAAAATTCTTTCATAAAGACATGATGTTCTGGTTTAAGAAATTAGGAGGAAAAAATGGCTTTGTATTGTTATAGGACATCATGACAGATCCAAGATCAATTTTTGTTAGCAAGACAACTCTTTAAGAGTTTGCAAATGGGGAGTATTCTGGGCAAGTCACCTTTCCAGGGAAGGCTACTACTTTCGTAAGTGCTCAAACTTCTCATCCTGCTTAATCAGTCACATAATTCCATCTGTATGTTACTATAAGAGTGGGAGTTTTTTTTTTAATTGACATTTTTTAATTGAGACAGAGTCTTGCTCTCTTGCCCAAGCTGGAGTGCAGTGGTGCAGTCACGGCTCATTCTAGCCTAAACCTCCCAGGCTAAAGAGATTCTCCCACTTCAACCTTCCTAGTAGCTGGGACCACAGGCGTGCACCACCATGCTTGGCTAAATTATTTTTATTTATTATTATTATTATTATTATTTTAGAGATGGGGTCTCCCCTAAGGAGGAAAAATTTATAAGGAAATCTTTGTAGCTGAAATGAAGAGTACTTGAATACTTTTTAGCTCCTTTACCTTTTCTGAGTTAATGGAAGTAGAAACAAGAAGTTCTCCAAACCCCAATGTGGAAGGTCATTTTTCAAAATCCATCTTCCTAATCTCATATCCATGGAGACAGGGTATGACTGGCACCCCATAGCAGATGAACTCTATGGCTAAGATCACTTTATGTCGTCTCAGAGATTGGGGAAGCCTCTAAGAGCTTTCTTTATAGGAGGCATTCATTCATGTACAGGTCCTTAAAGATTCTTATCCAGTCATGCTAAACCTAAACCAAAGGGATTTTCATTTTAGAAAATGTGAGAACTCTCCATGGATTATATTAATGTATAAGAATTATTCATTAGCACTTGATAAGAGCATCTATACTAAAAAGGTAATTATGAAACAATTGTATTTAATAATTGGGTGAACTTAATATGTACTTCTTGTTTACTTCTCACAATGACCTTAAGAGATGGATACTATTATTAGGCCCATTTTACAGATGAAAGAATGGATCAAAGAGAAATTAAGTGAACCTCATATTAGGGTAGTGCTGGGATTGGAACTCAATAAATCTTAATCCAGAATCCATACTCAAAACCCACAATTATTTATTGCCTCCTTGAAAGGGGAATGACTTGAAATTCAGCTCCCCTCCTCTGAACATAGGCACTCACTTTTGTTGCATGACAAACTATCTCTATCAGGAGGTAGCAGAACAATACATTTCATAATTTGATCAAGTCTTTCACATGTCCTATTATGTCAAAACTCCAGACACAGAGCAAAGGCTGAAAGACGGGGTAGGATGCTGTGGTTTCCACTTGTGCAGCCATGGTCAAGTGTTCAATGCAGGAGCCATTTCTCCTACTCCTCTCTTATGCAGAAAAAAAAACCCAAAATTCTTTTGCATTTACTTTTTCTCCTTTCCAGTTGTTTTTGGTTCTGCCAGGACTCTTGAGTGATAATGTAGTATTTTTAGGGGAAATAAGAAATTGACTTCTCTCCCCTGTGCATTCATTCAATGCTGCTGAGTATCTTGGGGGAAATCCCGTGTTCATGAGATTCATGTTTATGTGTTTATTCTTACAAACTTTAGCCTCAGCCTTCATTCTAATAATCTTAGGCCTGAAGTTTATACTAAAGACTCAAACTCCATCTATATTCTTCTTCCCTTCCTAATCAGTTTGTTTTCTCATTTCTTATTGTAGGTAATGGCTCCATATTCTCTCATAAGCTCAAAAAATTGGAATGATATTTAGTTGCCCCTCCCCTTCACCCCCCCAACATGAAACAAGTGCCAAGTCATACAGACACACTTTGCTAACACTTCTCAAAGTATTCTTCCTTTTCATTTCCACTTCCACTTCCACTTCCAAACGCCGCCCTGGCTCTGCTTCCCACCTAAATGATGTCTCACCTCTTAAAGAGCTGACTGTCTTCAGTCCAAGGGTGTCCATTAGGTTTCAATTGACTTTTTAGCTCCACCCCTTCCCCCGCCATTAGAACACTATGCTGAGAAGAATTTGGAGGATCTGCTTGGGCTTCTCAGAAATAAGTCCCTCGATCAATTCATCATGCCTGTGGTGGTTCAGGGATAGGGAAGAAGCATCCTCTCTTAGACTCTCCCTGCTCTACTTACCCACTTCTGCCAGATGAATATTGGCAAAACGCAGCTCTATTTGTACTGTCCTGCTTAAAAATGTTCAGGGACTCTTAACTGCCTTCACTAACATTAAATCCCTTAGCCTGGCATTTAAGCACCTCCAGGCTCTGTCCGTAACTTATTTCAGGTGCAATCGTCATGGCTCCCCTACAAAAGCCTGCATTAGCAGATCTCAGACTCAGCCTCACAATGGACCATGGGGCGAGAGAGGGTGGGATTATAGTCCGACAGCTGGCAATTGTGCATAACTCCATAGCCTGTCTTAACTCTGGCATAATCAGGGTATGAATGTGGGAGAGTTACATATGAATATCATCTTTCAGGAGGTTAATGTAAAATAAGATTGAGAACTGCTGCCCTCGTCTTAGCCAAGCCACGATGCTTGCGATTCCATATGTTCTGGGTTTTCCCATTCTTGCACTTTGGTGGATGCTCATCTTTTGCCTCACCTCTATAACCCTGCCTGGCAAAATCCTTTTTGTCCTTCAAAGTTCAGTTTGAATTCTACATTTTAATGACAACTTCTGTAATTTTTCAAACTAGATAAGATATATCTTCTTTATGAGTCCCCAGAACATTTTATTTAGGATGCTATGTTTAAGCTTACATTGTATTTATTTTGCAATTATTGTCTTGTATTGGCAAAATAATCTTTTTTTTTTTACGAGAAAGCCATAAAAACAAAACAAACAAACAAACAAAAAACCCAAGATTCTCTATTTCACTGGGCTGCATACATGGTAGGTCCTGTATGATCTGACTTCTGACCACGCTTGTCATGCCTTCCCTCAAACCCCTTTGCCTTCTCTGCTCCTGCCATCCTAAACAACTTGGAATGTCCCAAACTCCATGTTCTGTCTCAATTATCTTCAGGTCTTGCGCACATCATGCCTTCTTATCAGGTGAAGTACATTACCAAAATAGCCACAGTCCTTCACCCACCCCTGTGACCACACCTTTCAGTGTGACTTCCCATCACTAGGTGGAGACAATTTCCCCTCCCCTTGAATCTGGGCTGGTTCTGGGACTTGCTTATTTTGGTAACAGGGAATGCAGAGGAAGTTCATTGTGCCAGTTCTGAGCCTCAGCATCAAAAGGCTTGCATGTTTTCACTCATTCTCTTGGAAGCTTGTTCAGCTGCCATGTGAACAAACCTGGGCTAGCCTGCTGGAGAATGAGAGATGATGTGGAGGAGAGACAAGTGGTCCAAGCTGAGGCTATCCCAAACCACAGTCCCCACACAACACCCAACCAACCCAGCAGCTCTCTGTTGGTTGATGGATTAGAAAGTCTCAAGTCAGAGCTATCTAGCCGGGCCCAGCCCAAATTGTTAATGCACAAGATTATGAGATAACACATTGTTGTTATTTTAAACTATTACGTTTTGGGGTGGTTTGTTATGCAGCCAGAGTTGCACTAAGTTAACAGCTACCTTTCTGATCTCCACCTGTCAAAGCTATTTCTGATCCTCTTCAAGTCTGGGTTAGGGTTTCCTCTTACATACCCCAGAGGTACTCACAGTTCAATACTGTAATTACTTGGACATCATCTCTATTTTGACATTTGATTGTAATATTTTTAGGGCAGGAACTTCATCTTATGAATTGTATCCTTTTGTTCTAGCACAGTGTCTGGTACTCCATAGATGCTCGGAAAGTATTTGTGAATGAAAGAATGGATTAAATCAGAGGTTGCAACTTGTGGACAACCTATTTTCATTTTGTCCTGCATAGTGTTGATCTGAAGAGCGATAAACATGTTTGGGTTTCTTTTTTAGGAATTGTTGGCCGACATTTGAAAATCAAGAAATTTGAGATAAACACCTGCATTACTGACTTGTCATTAAAAGAAATGGGAGGATCCGTCAACATTGGGCCTGCATTTTCTCATGGCACCAATGAGTAGTGACAGTTCCCTTTAGATGGGGCACATATTTTCTGACTGTGACAGTCTGGCAGGGGTTCCTATTGTCTCATCCACACCCATTGTTATTGATCATCACATCTGTGCTGTTCTCTTTTTTTTATGTTTAATTTTTTTTTATTATACTTTAAGTTTAAGGATACATGCGCCCAACGTGCAGGTTTGTTACATATGTATACATGTGCCACGTTGGTGTGCTGCACCCAATAACTTGTCATTTAACATTAGGTATATCTCCTAATGCTATCCCTCCCCACCAACCCACAACAGGCCCTGGTGTGTGATATTCCCCTTCCTGTGTCCATGTGTTCTCATTGTTCAATTCCCACCTATGAGTAAGAACATGTGGTGTTTGGTTTTTTGTCCTTGCGATAGTTTGCTGAGAATGATGGTTTCCAGCTTCATCCATGTCCCTACAAAGGACATGAACTCATCATTTTTTATGGCTGCATAGTAGTCCATGGTGTATATGTGCCACATTTTCTTAATCCAGTCTATCATTTTTGGACATTTGGGTTGGTTCCAAGTCTCTGCTATTGTGAATAGTGCCACAATAAACATATGTGTGCGTGTCTCTTTATAGCAGCATGATTTATAATCCTGTGGGTACATACCCAGTAATGGGATTGCTGGGTCAAATGGTATTTCTAGTTCTAGATCCCTGAGGAATTGCCACACTGACTTCCACAATGGTTGAACTAGTTTACAGTCCCACCAACAGTGTAAAAGTGTTCCTATTTCTCCACATCCTCTCCAGCACCTGTTGTTTCCTGACTTTTTAATGATCTCCATTCTAACTGGTGTGAGATGGTATCTCATTGTGGTTTTGATTTGCATTTCTCTGATGGTCAGTGATGATGAGCATTTTTTCATGTGTCTTTTGGCTGCATAAATGTCTTCTTTTGAGAAGTGTCTGTTCATATCCTTCGCCCACTTGTTGATGGGTTTTTTTTTTTCTTGTAAATTTGTTTGTGTTCTTTGTAGATTCTGGATATTAGCCCTTTGTCAGATGAGTAGATTGCAAAAATTTTCTCCCACTCTGTAGGTTGCCTGTTCACTCTGATGGTAGTTTCTCTTGCTGTCCACAAGCTCTTTAGTTTAATTAGATCCCATTTGTCAATTTTGGCTTCTGTTGCCATTGCTTTTGGTGTTTTAGACATGAAGTCCTTGCCCATGCCTATGTCCTGACTGGTATTGCCTAGGTTTTCTTCTAGGGTTTTTACGGTTTTAGGTCTAACATTTAAGTCTTTAATCCATCTTGAATTAATTTTTGTATAAGGTGTAAGGAAGGGATACAGTTTCAGCTTTCTCCATATGGCTAGCCCATTTTCCCAGCACCATTTATTAAATAGGGAATCCTTTCCCCATTTCTTGTTTTTGTCAGATTTGTCAAAGATGAGATAGTTGTAGATATGTGGCATTATTTTTGAGGGCTCTGTTCTGTTCCATTGATCTATATCTCTGTTTTGGTACCAGTACCATGCTGTTTTGGTTACTGTAGCCTTGCAGTATACTTTGAAGTCAGGTAGCGTGATGCCTCCAGCTTTGTTCTTTTGGCTTAGGATTGACTTGGCAATGTGGGCTCTTTTTTTGTTCCATATGAACTTTAAAGTAGTTTTTTCCAATTCTGTGAAGAAAGTCATTGGTAGCTTCATGGGGATGGCATTCAATCTATAAATTACCTTGGGCAGTATGGCCATTTTCACAATGTTGATTCTTCCTACCCATGGGCATGGAATGTTCTTCCATTTGTTTGTATCCTCTTTTATTTCATTGAGCAGTGGTTTGTAGTTCTCCTTGAAGAGGTCCTTCACATCCCTTGTAAGTTGGATTCCTAGGTATTTTATTCTCTTTGAAGCAATTGTGAATGGAAGTTCACTCATGATTTGGCTCTCTGTTTGTCTGTTATTGGTGTATAAGAATGCTTGTGATTTTTGCACATTGATTTTGTATCCTGAGACTTTGCTGAAGTTGCCTATCAGCTTAAGGAGATTTTGGGCTGAGATGATGGGGTTTTCTAGGTATACAATCATGTCATCTGCAAACAGGGACAATTTGACTTCCTCTTTTCCTAATTGAATACCCTTTATTTCCTTCTCCTGCCTGATTGCCCTGGCCGGAACTTCCAACACTATGTTGAATAGGAGTGGTGAGAGTGGACATCCCTATCTTGTGCCAGTTTTCAAAGGGAATGCTTCCAGTTTTTGCCCATTCATTATGATATTAGCTGTGGGTTTGTCATAGATAGCTCTTATTATTTTGAGATACATCCCATCAATACCTAATTTATTGAGAGTTTTTAGCATGAAGGGTTGTTGAATTTTGTCAAAGGCCTTTTCTGCATCTATTGAGATAATCACGTGGTTTTTGTCTTTGGTTCTGTTTATATGCTGGATTACATTTATTGATTTGCATATGTTGAACCAGCCTTGCATCCTAGGGATGAAGCTCACTTGATCATGGTGCATAAGCTTTTTGATGTGCTGCTGGATTCGGTTTGCCAATATTTTATTGAGGATTTTTGCATCGATTTTCATCAGGGATATTGGTCTGAAATTCTCTTTTTTTGTTATGTTGCTGCTAGGCTTTGGTATCAGGATGATGCTGGCCTCATAAAATGAGTTAGGGAGGATTCCCTCTTTTTCTATTGATTGGAATAGTTTCAGAAGGAATGGTACCAGCTCCTCCTTATACCTCTGGTAGAATTTGGCTATGAATCCATCCGGTCCTGGACTTTTTTTGGTTGGTAAGCTATTAATTATTGCCTCAATTTCAGAGCCTGTTATTGGTCTATTCGGAGATTCAACTTCTTCCTGGTTTAGTCTTGGGAGGGTGTATGTGTCGAGGAATTTATCCATTTCTTTTAGACTTTCTAGTTTATTTGTATAGAGGTGTTTACAGTATTCTCTGATGGTAGTTTGTATTTCTGTGGGATCAGTGGTGATATCCGTTTTATCATTTTTTATTGCGTCTATTTGATTATTCTCTCTTTTCTTCTTTATTAGTCTTTCTAGTGGTCTATCAATTTTGCTGATCTTTTCAAAAAACCAGCTCCTGGATTCATTGATTTTTTGAAGGGTATTTTGTGTCTCTATTTCCTTCAGTTCTGCTCTGATCTTAGTTATTTCTTGCCTTCTGCTAGCTTTTGAATGTATTTGCTCTTGCTTCTCTAGTTCTTTTAATTGTGATGTTAGGGTGTCAATTTTAGATCTTTCCTGCTTTCTCTTGTGGGCATTTAGTGCTATAAATTTCTCTCTACACACTTCTTTGAATGTGTCCCAGAGATTCTGGTATGTTGTGTCTTTGTTCTCGTTGGTTTCAAAGAACATCTTTATTTCTGCCTTCATTTCGTTTTGTACCCAGTAGTCATTCAGGAGCAGGTTGTTCAGTTTCCATGTAGTTGAGCAGTTTTGAGTGAGTTTCTTAATCCTGAGTTCTAGTTTGATTGCACTGTGGTCTGAGTGACAGTTTGTTATAATTTCTGTTCTTTTACATTTGCTGAGGAGTGCTTTACTTCCAACTATGTGGTCAATTTTGGAATAGGTGTGGTGTGGTGCTGAAAAGAATGTATATTCTGTTGATTTGGGATGGAGAGGTCTGTAGATATCTATTAGGTCTGCTTGGTGCAGAGCTGAGTTCAGTTCCTGGATATGCTTGTTAACTTTCTGTCTCGTGGATCTGTGTAATGTTGATAGTGGGGTGTTAAAACATCCCATTATTATTGTGTGGGAGTCTAAGTCTCTTTGTAGGTCTCTAAGGACTTGCTTTTTTTTTTTTTAACTCATATTTGTTTTTATTTATAGGTAACTACCACATGAATTATAAAGACAACAAAGGATGTCAGAATGAACATGGATAGGTGTATGCATACTACGGCTAAGGAGAAACAATGTTCCTACATATTATGGGTAGTGAGAACATTATCTGTATAACAGGGAACTGTGATTATTTAAAAATATGCAGAACTTATTTCATCTGTGCTTTAGAAATAACTGTATACAGTGTTATAAGTTGAAAAGAACTCAAAATAACTAATACCAAATATACACCTATGTATTAGAATTCAAAAAAGCTGCTTTCTGTGAAGTCAATCAGCTATATTAAAAAATGACACAAATCCAAAACAAGATGCATGTTATATATAAAGGGACATTGTAAGTTTCCTTGCTGCATTAAACCCATGGTTTAATCCATGAAATTTCCTTTTAATTATCATTTAGATAGAAGCATGCAAATAGTCTCAGGATCTACTTAAGAACCTTTCCCAAATCCACTAGTTACACTCCCCTTTTCAGGAACTAAGCAGGTATTCGGGTAGCTGCTTCCTCCTCTGCATCAGCTCGGTTTGCATTAATTTCTGCAAGTGTTCAGCCAAACCATGCCCATTCATCATTGCGGGGAACAGCAATCTGCTCTCCCACATCGTATATAGCAATCTGTCCTTCAGAATCACCCACAGCAATCTCTCTGCCAGAATGGGTCCATCTCACATGATTAAGAGCAGGATTACCCTCCACAGAAATGCTGGCAGTTGGTACCTCTGTGTCATTATTGAGATTCCACAAATCCAATCTCCCCATGCCATCCACACAGGCAAACAGGGCTGGGTGGGTAGGTGACCACATAACATCATAAACATAGTCTGCATTGTCTTCAAATGAATACAAAGGCTTGTTATTCTTAGTTGTCCAAAGCTTTACTGTCCAGTCAAATGATGAAGTGACATAAAGATGTGAGAAGTCTACTGCTCCAACAGCTGCATGACAATGGATGCCAGTGATTGGTCCTTGATGCCCCTCAAACATCTCACTGATTCCAGCTTTGCTGCCATGGTGGCATGCTGTGTACACAGAACCTTCTTCACTCCCAACAACAAAGTTGTTGACATCTCCAACAGGGAAGGACATAGATGTCACAGCTACTGCTTTTGACTGTTTATGAACCAACTCCATGCTATCCTGTGGATGGGAAAGCATGTCCAGACTCCATGAACAAATTTTTCCATCAGTAGAGATGCTAATCAGATTGTGAGCATTTTGTGTTCCAACAACGTTTACACAATATACAGGGTGTGTGTGTGCAGCTGCTGACAGTGGAGTTCTTTGCACTGGAGTTCTTTTATTGCTACGGTTATCCCAAAGCACAGTTTGGCCTGAATATGTACCACCAACAACAAGATTTGGATGAAATTTTGCAAATGTGGCAGACATCACAGCTGACTGGCAGTGAAACACATACTCTGGGGTAGTTTTTTTGTATTTCATATTCCATACAAGGGCCACACCATCAGGCTCATGAGGGGCATCTTCATTGTTGTTATAGGAAGCCACGAGTAACTCCGGATACTGAGATGACCAATCCAAACAACTAACAACCCGATGCTTTGACCAACGTTCGTCAAAAAATTGTCAATTTAATGACAGTTTAGCACCTGCTTGAATCTCTCCTTCTTTGTCTTCCAAATCTCTCCCACTATAGTGAAAGAAGATGTTAATCTGCTCAGAAAGAGCTCTTTCTACAATTCTTGTAGAATGGTCAAAGAAACTTAAAAATTCCTCAGAGTGCAAGATTTGTTGCTTTTCTTCTTCAGTCAGCTCATGGGGGGAGCTTTACTATCATTTTCCTCATCTTTCTTTAAAGTTTTCTCTTCTTCAGGTTCAATAGGTAGTTTAGGAGCCACTACATCATCATCTTCCTCTTCATCTTTTTTGGGTTGAGCCATAACTGGAGTCTGAGTTTCCTTTGTATACGTGACAATTTCTCGAGGAGGAAAGTCGACTTGCGTGATTTTAGCCATTCCAAGTTTAATAGGTCCTCGTCTAGATCCCACGGCGCCATCTCCAGAGTCTTGGCTTCCAGCTTCACTTGGAGTGCTCACAGATTTGGAGGATGGAGACATAGGAGGAGGGACAATGGGGGATTCTGGAGTTAGCCCCATGCTTTGGAGCAATGCTTCAGCTTCTCTTCTTCTTTTTTCAAGATCTGATTCTTCTTGCACAGGAGCAACAGCTTCCTTCTTCTGATCTGTTTCTTTTTTTTTCCTTTCTTCTTCTTTTCTCTTCTTTTCCTCTCTGATTTGGGCCAGTTGCTGCTTCTTACGTTCCAACTCAGCCTTTAATTCACTTTTGTCTGACATGTTTGTGACCTGTCAGGTGACTGGATGGGGAAGAGTCCTCCCGCCTGCAACTTTCCGGTAACGTCCCTCGGCTAAGCCCCCAACACCAACCAGGACTTGCTTTATGAATCTAGGTGCTGCTGTATTGGGTGCATATATATTTAGGATAGTTAGCTCTTCTTGTTTAATTGATCCCTTTACCATTATGTAATGGCCTTCTTTGTCTCTTTTGATCTGTGTTGGTTTAAAGTCTGTTTTATCAGAGACTAGGATTGCAACCCCTGCCTTTTTTTGTTTTCCATTTGCTTGGTAGATCTTCCTCCATCCATTTATTTTGAGCCTATGTGTGTCTCTGCATGTGCAATGCGTTTCCTGAATACAGCACACTGATGGGTCTTGACTCTTTATCCAATTTGCCAGTCTGTGTCTTAATTGGAGCACTTAGCCCATTCACATTTAAGGTTAATATTGCTATGTGTGAATTTGATCCTGTCATTATGATATTAGCTGGTAATTTTGCTCATTAGTTGATGCAGTTTCTTCCTAGCCTGGATGGTCTTTACAATTTGGCATGTTTTTGCAGTGGCTGGTAGCGGTTGTTCCTTTCCATGTTTAGTGCTTCCTTCAGGAGCTCTTTCAGGGCAGGCCTGGTGGTGACAAAATCTCTCAGCATTTGCTTGTCTGTAAAGTATTTTATTTCTCCTTCACTTATGAAGCTTAGTTTGGCTGGATATGAAGTTCTGGGTTGAAAATTCTTTTCTTTAGGAATGTTGAATATTGGCCCCCACTCTCTTCTGGCTTGTAGAGTTTCTGCCAAAAGATCAGCTGTTAGTCTGATGGGCTTCCCTTTGTGGGTAACCCGACCTTTCTCTCTGGCTGCCATTAACATTTTTTCCTTCATTTCAACTTTGGTGAATCTGACAATTATTTGTCTTGGAGTTGCCGTTCTCAAGGAGTATCTTTGTGGCATTCTCTGTATTTCCTGAATTTGAATGTTGGCCTGCCTTGCTAGATTGGGGAAGTTCTCCTGGATAATATCCTGCAGAGTGTTTTCCAACTTGGTTCCCTTCTCCCCGTCACTTTCAGGTACACCAATCAGATGTAGGTTTGGTCTTTTCACATAGTCCCTTATTTCTTGGAGGCTTTGTTTGTTTCTTTTTATTCTTTTTTCTCTAAGCTTCTCTTCTCGCTTCATTTCATTCATTTGATCTTCCATCACTGATACCCTTTCTTCCAGTTGATTGCATCAGTTACTGAGGCTTGTGCATTCATCACATAGTTCTCGTGCCATGGTTTTCAGCTCCATTGGGTCCTTTAAGGACTTCTCTGCATTGGTTATTCTAGTTAGCCATTCGTCTAATTTTTTTTCAAGGTTTTTAACTTCTTTGCCATGGGTTCGAACTTCCTCCATTAGCTCGGAGTAGTTTGATCGTCTGAAGCCTTCTTCTCTCAGCTCGTCAAAGTCATTCTCCATCCAGCTTTGTTCCATTGCTGCTGAGGAGCTGCATTCCTTTGGAGGAGGAGAGGCGCTCTGCTTTTTAGAGTTTCCAGTTTTTCTGCTCTGTTTTTTCCCCATCTTTGTGGTTTTATCTACCTTTGGTCTTTGATGATGGTGATGTACAGATGGAGTTTTGTGTGGATGTCCTTTCTGTTTGTTAGTTTCCCTTCTAACAGTCAGGACCCTCAGCTGCAGGTCTGTTGGAGTTTGCTGGAGGTCCACTCCAGACCCTGTTTGCCTGGGTATCAGCAGCGGAGTCTGCAGAACAGCAGATACTGGTGAACAGCAAATGTTGCTGCGTGATCGTTCCTCTGGAAGTTTTGTCTCAGAGGAGTACCCGGCCATGTGAGGTGTCAGTCTGCCCCTACTGGGGGGTGCCTCCCAGTTAGGCTACTCGGGGGTCAGGGACCCACTTGAGGAGGCAGTCTATCCATTCTCAGATCTCAAGCTGTGTGCTGGGAGAACCACTATTCTCTTCAAAGCTGTCAGACAGGGACACTTAAGTCTGCAGAGGTTTCTGCTGCCTTTTGTTTCGCTATGCCGTGCCCCCAGAGGTGGAGTCTACAGAGACAGGCAGGCCTCCTTGAGCTGTGGTGGGATCCACCCAGTTTGAGCTTCCTGGCTGCTTTGTTTACCTACTCAAGCCTCAGCGATTGCGGCCGCCCCTCCCCCAGCCTCACTGCTGCCTTGTAGTTTGATCTCAGACTGCCGTGCTAGCAATGAGCGAGGCTCCGTGGGCATAGGACCCTCTGGGCCATGCACGGGACATAATCTCCTGGTGTGCCGTTTGCTAAGACCACTGGAAAAGCACAGTATTAGGGTGGGAGTGACCTGATCTTCCAGGTGCCATCTGTCACCCCTTTCTTTGACTAGTAAAGGGAATTCCCTGACCCCTTGCACTTCCCGGGTGAGGTGATGCCTCGTCCTGCTTCGGCTCACGCTCGGTGTGCTGCACCCACTGTCCTGCACCCACTGTCCGACACTCCCCAGTGAGATGAACCCAGTATCTCAGTTGGAAATGCAGAAATCACCCATCTTCTGCATCTCTCATACTGGGAGCTGTAGACTGGAGCTCTTCCTATTTGGCCATCTCTGTGCCATTCTCTTGCAGACATCTGTAAGTTTCCCTCACATACTTACCTGTTGTAAAGCACTCAGCACTTAGGAGAGCACTTGATAAATATGCCCACTTACTTACTTCTGCCTTAAATATGAGTGTGATGTAGGCAGCCTCCCTCCTGGGCACAATTTTAAGCATTGCTTATGGTCTCACTTTCCTCTTCTACAAATTAGGTTTGTTTTCTCTCCCTCCAAAGGGCTTTCAAGGATAATTCAGCTTATAACCTGCCTAAACTGTTTTCTTCCTTTGTCATGTAATTCAGTTTTATTAGGGCAGCAATTGTGCTTTGGTTGGAAGCATTCACACCCAGCCATGCTGGCAGGTCTGAAAGATGTCATGTCAGCTTTCCTTTTTATTTTATTTTAATTTTATTTAATTTTATTTTTCCAACTTAGAGATGGGGTCTCACTCTGTTGTCAGGGCTGGAGTGTAGTGTCATGATCATATCTCACTGAGGTCTCAAACTCTTGGGCTTAAGCAGTCCTCCCTCCTCAGCCTCCCAAGTAGCTTTGACTATAAGCACATGCTACCATGCCCAGATAATTTTTGTTTTTTTTGTAAAGTCAATGTCTTGCTATGTGGCCCAGGCTAGTCTTGAACTTGAACTCCTGGCTTCAAGTGCTCCTTCTGCCTTGGCCCCCCAAAGCACTGGGATTACAGGTGCGAGCCACCTCACCTGGCCATCCTGCCAGTTTTCTGATGGTTTTCCCTCTAGTGGTACTCTTCAGATGCAACATATAAGTGCTATGGGTGGCATGTCCCCCTTATGATGGATTGAAGTAGTTTTTCAGCAGTGTGAGATGATGAAATTGAAGGTTTTAAAAAATGACTACTCATTCTATTTATAAGGCTTATAACTCAATAATTGGGACTTGGAAGGAAGAAACCCCTCAGCCAATGCATAACTCCACATTTTAAAGAGAAGCTCACCAAAGCTGAAGTTCAGCAGGAATACATCCACACAGGTCTACCACGTGTGTACTCTTGCATCTTCTCTGATTGATCAGTGCCCAGGCTGAACCAGTATTTACATATTTTGAATATATCAGTCATAGAACCAACACATTGGAATGGAAAAAATACTAGTCTTCAAGATTATCTTGAACTTTGGACTCATTTATGAGGCAACAACTTGGTCACAGCTCCATGCAACCTGGTTTTATCAAATCCCTTCTGTAAACACCATGTTAATTATCCTATTCAGAAGAATCTTTATCTCTTATGGTGCATCCAAGGTTCAGCTCATCTGGGTATGAATAGGTAGCTCAGCCTGTTCTCTGATTAGTGACATGAATAAGCAGTAGAACTTGTTCTGTTCCATTAGTCCTGAATGAATTGGTTGATGAGTCTTTACTTCTAAAAGTCCCACGTACCCAGACCACTGACTTCTGAGCTCACCCGAGATAGAATCTGAGGTTAGCACAGTCCTCCTCATATGTTTAAGAAAAGAAACAGAAACTATTTTTAGCAGTGGTTATTCTTCATTTGATGATGCATAAGAATAGGCTAGTAGAGTTGACACTTCCTTTTTTTAGCCTATCTGGGGAATTATTCACTCCATGTGACTTTTATGTACACCAGAATTCAACCCTTTAAAAAAAATTATCTTTGTATCACAAAAGTAATACATTATCATTGCAGAAAAAATTTAAATATGGTTAAGTAAAGAGTTCCCTAAATACCATGCTAACAAAACACTGTTACATTTTGAGATGGATTAGTCTAGTTGTCTCTTTGTCTCCCTCTTCATATTATGGGTAGCTTTAGAACTTGGAGTTCTTTTAAACCTCAAAATTAGAAGAAAAAAGTCTTTTAAACGGGTTTCAGATTTTGCTGTTTTAGAGGTTGTTAAAAGACTCAAATTGTCACTATGACCACTAATTATTGTCCTGCACAGAGTAATTTTCACTTGAGTCTCTTTAAGCTATCACTTTTACTACCTGTGTGTCTGCTTCTAGAAACCTGTGTTAATTTTCTGTGATCGAAAGAAAAAGGACAGGTGGTTAGAATTGTATGTAAATTAAAGTTACCTCTATCTTAATGAAGACTCTCCCGTAGTGTAAAATACGTGGACTTTATGTCATGAATTTTTGTAACCTATAAGCCTTTTATATTTCCTCTATGTTTTTAGCTATGTTTTGTATTTGAGGTTGCATGAAATTTTATCTCCGAATTAGAGGGATTTTAATATGTTTTGAAAAGTAGAAATAAAATCATTTGATTGAGATGTTTATTGGACTGAAATAATTTAAAAGTAAGATTTATAATTTAGCTAAGAAGTCATCTTAATAAGCTGGCATTATAAGCGTGTTAGTTAGGATGGGCAGGAAGCTTGCTGTGGTAACAAATAAATCTCCTGAATCTTAGTTGCTTAATATGTAAACATTTATTTCTTGTTTATGCAAAACCCATTCTTGGTCTGGCAACTCTTGGAGGTCAGTTGCTTCCAAGAGATATCTCAAGGAACTTGTAACCTGTCATCTGGGACACGTGACACTCAGGGTCACCAAGGCAGAGGAAGGGAGAGCATGCAGAACACACACCCCCTCTCAAATGCCTCAGCACTAAATGCTTCATTCCAGAAGTGATGCATGTCACTGCCACTCATAGCCCATTTGCCAGTACCAGGAGACTGGAAAGTATAATCTTCCCATATGCCCATAAAGGAATGGAGAACCAGATATGAATGGGCACTGCAAGACTCCACCACAGTGACCTAGGGTGAGTAACTATCTCTGTGACAAGGGGGTTGGCCTAGATGACTTCAGAATCCTTACCTCTTCTCACAATCACTGAGACAAAAGGTTTGATTTCTTCTTACAACAGCTTTATGGCTTTCACAAATTGACATGTATTATCTTTTTGTTACTCTAAAGACATGAATATAGGCCGCTGTGGTGGCTCACTCCCAGCCCTTTGGGAGGTCCAGGCGGGTGGATGACCTGAGGTCAGGAGTTTGAGACCAGCCTGGCCAACATGATGAAACCCCATCTCTACTAAAAATATAAAAATTAGCCAGACGTGGTGGTGTGTGCCTGTAATCCCAGCTACTAGGGAGGCTGAGGCAGGAGAATTGCTTGAACCCGGGAGGTGGAGGTTGCAGTGAGCTGAGATTGCACTACTGCATTCCAGCCTGGGCGACAAGAGCAAAACTCCATCTCAAATAAATAAACAAATAAAAACATGAATATATTGATACCAGTAGAAGGCAGATGCTTATGTTGCATAATGTAGCTGATGGTTAAGCTAGAGAACTCTGAGGGCAGATGATCTATTTTGAATCCAGCTTGATCTCTTACAGGCTATATGACCTCCAACTATCAGCTCTTTGATTGACTTCTCTATGACTTAGTTTTTTATTTTTTAATTCAAATGTAAAATGAGGATAGGAATAGTACCACCCTCACAGGGTTACAGTGAATATTAAATGAAGTAATTCTTGTAATAGCCTCAGAACAGTGACTGGAGCATAATAAGTTCAGTAAGTTAATTGCATTTTATTTTTTATTATTTAAAAAGATGACTGTCCTTCTTGCCCTCACTTGATAAGTATCTACATAGTAAGAGCTCAATAAATTGTTGTTGTTTTAATGATCATCTTTCTTGTTCTGGCTGGATAAGCCAGCCCAACCCACACAGATCTCTCTAATCTACAGACTACTAATAAAATGGAGTCACAAATACTACCTGTAGGTGACCTGGGGCCAAGACCGCCAACCTCTTTGGACTTGTGCCTTATCTGCTTTAGCTTAGATTCCATCCTGGCCTGGCCTCATCTTGGCTCTGAAATCTGAGTTGGATCCTGCCTTTGGCTCTTGCAAGCTCAAAATTCCTCATGGTTTCCCCCTTGTCATCGAGCTCTGCCTTTCTCTCACAGACTTTCCTGAGCTGGCCCCTTTGACTCTTAGGGAACCCACTTAGCTCAGGTGGGAACTTCCTGCCCTAACCTCAGCCTCTTAGGATCCAACCCCTGTGTCAGCCTCCAGTTCAGATGTCTTGGTCTCCACAAAGTTGAGGTAACGTCACATACTTCCTACATCACCTACTTTTATTTCATTGACTGCACCATTGAGCCTGGTATTTCAGATGTCTCCTGGCTCTTATAACCATCCCACATCAGTGATAAATCCAAGATGTTAAGTCCTCCTGCAGGCATTATACCTCCAGGTAGATATACATGAGCAATAACTTTTTCTTTTTCTTCCTGGTTCTAGAGTGGATTGTCCTTGGGAAGGAGTTAGACCATTGCAGCAAGAGAGAATGTGAGAAATGCTGTACATTCACTTCCTGGCATTGGGAAGGTCTGGTTCCCCTCCCCTTTTACTTCTTGGCTGATCTAATGGGGGGATTCTCTGAATGGTTGCCAGTGAGTTTGCTCCAGGAAAGAGAACAATTCTTACCTGGTGGGTTTCCTCCTCAGGTTTGATTCTGCCCAATATAAGAAAGACCATATGCCTCCACGCCAAGCTCCTCTCAGACTCTCCTCCCTCCTTCCTCACATTGGCCTGAGGGAGCATCGATTGAGTCAGGGTGGACTTTGATGTTATCATTTGCTTTCTGCTTCTCTTGGTCCTTTCTTTTTCAAGTTCTATCAAAGGACAGTGTGGTATTTTTTTTTTCCACAGGTGCACAGCACAGGTGGGAGATATGAACCATCTGGGATTTATATAGAGGGCAAGCATTACATCAGAAGATATTTCCACCCTGTCCCTGAAATAATGATAAATGCAACTGCATCCTGCTTTCTCCCAATCTGCCTTTGTAATCTTGTATAGCACACAGGTCAAATTTGTCATTGCCAAATGAAATAAATTCTTATCTGTGGTTTTAGAAAAAGATAAATCATCAGAGAATAATTTCCAAAGACTCTGAAAAAGGTTCTACAGCCCCCCAGTGTTTATCTAACAGTGGAGAAATAGGGACATTTTGCAATTCTAATTTTATCCAGAATTTAAACTCTCTGGATGTGTCAAAAATAGCAAAAGATAGTTTTTTTCACTTAAGGTTGAATTTATCAAAGTTCAATGGGGATATCTTTAGAACCAAGTGTGAGGAATATACCAGGAAAAGGTAACTGTGCTATAGAGTTTAAAATGCACACAACCTGCCACTCTTGGGGCATCCAGAATTAATTAGTCCATAATTCAAAAAATAACTAATTTGCTTCCTGTTATAGAGTGAACAGAGGAGTTTAAAAAACATATTATCTATGTGATCTTTTAACAAGGTAGGTAGGTTCTTGTTAGTCTCTGTGCTTTTTTTTATGTATATATAAGGAAATGAATGAAGCTCAGGGAAATTAAGGTCACTGAAAACAAACAAACAAACATGCAAACATACACATCTTAAACTTTAGATTTAAATCCCAGTTCTTTTCATATCCACAATGCTTCCCTTTATCTTTTTCCTTTGTTTTGAAGGCAGAACTGGGGTAAATTTGAGGGAAGAAACTCTGTAATCCTGGAGTAGTTTTATCTGCCCTGCTGTCTGAGAAAAGCAGAAGATTGTCAGCATCTACCTGTTACTCTTTGCTGGGATCACGGGCTTTGTAAATTTCCTGGGGGAAGGAGGGCAATGATGTGCTCTCTTGTTATGCTCTATTTTCTTCCAAGCCCTGCCACTTTGGTCAGAGCCGAGAACTCCCTCACAGAATCAACCAGGGATCTGCACCACACTGGGCCATCTTTAGTTGCAGTCTCAGGCTTTCAGGCTTAATATATGATGGATGCATAAGGGGTTAAATAAGAAACATTCATTTCAGCTCAGAACAAAAGATGCTCCTCCTCTCTTGCTTGCAGGTTGAGTTCAAAGTAGAATAGAGACCATTGGAAAGGTGAATCTACAGTTAACTTGTGATGAGACTGCTTTGGGGGTCAAAGAGATTTTTCAGTCTTATGAAAAACCCATGAAGTAGTAAAGTACCACCATAGCATCCCTGTGTACTGAAAACAAATTTCTTTTTGGATCCAATAAAAATGCATTATGGCAGACTGCACACTACTTTTAACTTTAAAAATGTTCCCAGAGGCAACGTGCATACACAGAGTCCAGTTGATTAGAATGCATGTATTCTTTACAGTGAGGTCCAACACTCACTTCTGTGAGATTCAGCTTGGCCATGTTCTTAGTTGGAGATAACAGAATCCACTCTAGGGAACTTAAAAAGAAAAGGATTTATTAAGGGATTGAGATAACTTGCAGTATTATTGTGAAGGCTGAAGTCAGAGAGTTGAAGCTGAGCCCCCAGGAACAACTCCCCAGCTTAAATTGCAGAATTGAGCTTCTTAGTGGTGGGCTACCTTGACCATGTTCACACAGCAAGGAAGCAGGCTGCAGCATCTGGAAACAGCCACCAAACTACCAGTTCAGAGCTGTGCTGCCATGATCCAAACCATGAAAATGGATGGCCCATGCCCTGATTCACTCCCCAACTGGCTCAGTTCTGAATCAAAGTATCATGCCAATGCATCTGAAAGGCAGAACCTAAACTCTATCTGGAACTCTAGGCAAATGGGGGTCCAGCTTCTCTGTACACTAGAATTTGAAATGGGTGTTGACTGGAGTGTTCTGCAGTATCTGCTATAGTGCTCCTTACCTACCTATCTCCTGTCAACTAGCATTTTCAAGAACAAAGCTTATGTCCATCCATCTGTCCTCCCATCTGTTCTGCTAACTGTCCAACCAACCATCCATCCATTGATCTGTCCATCCATCCAACCATTTGATGTTTGCAATTTTTATTAATATACCATTTCTTTTTTTAAATCTGTGTTTCAGAATGCGTCTCTAAAACATAAAAATTTCTTTAAAAAGTATAATCACAATACCATTATTATATTTTAAACAATCCCTGAACATTGTTATATATCTAGTCAGTGTTAAAATTTCCCCCATTTCGTAAATTTTTTGTTTTTGTTTGAATCAGTTTCCAAATAATGTTGGTTCTGAGCCTACAACATACAGTGGTTTGACCTGTCTCTTAAGCCTCTTTTAATCTGCAGCCTCTTCTCACCTTTCCTCTCCTCTGCCCTCCCTTTCCCTGGCCATTTCTCCCTTTGCCTCTGCCCTTCTCTCCCCTCCCTAATCCATTCTTGCTCTTGTTCTTGTCTCCCCCTCACCACCTCCCCCTTCCTACTTCTTCTTCTTTCTCTTCAGTTCTAACATGTTTTTTAAACAAACTGGATCATTGGTCTTACTATCTCACAGTCTAAATTTTGCCTTCTGTACCCCCATGTTGTCCTTAACATACATATTCAGTTGTCTTTTGTATTTCCTATGAACAGGCACTTAGATCTAGAGGCTGATCCGATTTAGGTTTCGCTTTTTGGTAAAGTTGAGAATGTTGTACAGATGGTTCAGAGGTTGCAGTATGCGGTTGTGTACGTGGTTCAGAGGCTGCAGTATCTTGTTGTCTCTCTTTTTCTCTATTGGTGACTTAATCAGCTATTGATGATCTTTTTCTAGATCCATCATTTCATCAGGGATTGCAAAATATTTAGATTCAAGTTTGTCATTTCTTCCTCATTTATTAGCTGGAATACTTTTATCATGAGAAACTGTCCCTCATCAACTATTTGGCTTTCCTGCTGTACATGCATGCAGGAAAAGCAGAGTATATCCTTGACTTCTTGATTCCTACTCCTCTCCTTTTTTTAAACCAATTTTAAGAATAACAAATTGGTTCCCTACCATCTTTTTAAAAAGTATCATTATGACATCATGGATTTAAGCATATTTGATTTGCTTCAACCCATTGCAGTTATTTTTTAAATTGATGCTAAAGTTAAATAATCTTCGGTTAGTGGGAAGCGCTCTAGTTCTTTAGATACTGTCTTCCTAATTTTGATGACTTTTTTGACTTCTGGCATAATAAAATATTCCCAGCTTAGTTCATGTAATTCCTGCCCCAGACCCAGAACCAGCTGTTTCTCCAAGGATTTCCAGTTTCTTTCAGCAAGAAATGTTATTTAGAGATGACAATCTGGATGCTATATATAACAGTATATTTTTTCTAGAAGTTTTTTTTTTTTTTTTTTTTTTTTTTTGAGACAGAGTCTTGCTCTGTATCCCAGGCTGGAGTGCAGTGGTGCGAGCTTGGCTTGCTGCAACCTCCACCTCCCGGGTTCAAGCGATTCTCCTGCCTCAGCCTCCAGAGTAGCTGGGATTACAGGTGCTTGCCACCATGCCCAGCTAATTTTTTTTTTGTATTTTTAGTAGAGATGGGGTTTCACCGTGTTAGCCAGGATGGTCTTGATCTCCTGACCTCGTGATCCGCCCGCCTCAGCCTCCCAAAGTGCTGGGATTATAGGCGTGAACCACCAAGTCCAGCCAGAAGTTATTTAATCTTTAATTACTCTAAGAGTTAAATAATGAAAGAATATGGCCCTTAGCACAAAGTATATGAAATTAGCACCATGCCTTCTAAGACTGCATAAGTAAAATATTAAGAACAATTGTGATGCTAGTGATTATTGCTTAATGATTTAGGAGTTAGGGTTTTGGGAGAAGTATTCTTCCAGCTTGAATACAATTATTCATCAGCTGCCTTTACTTTGTGCTGATTAGTTTTTCCCTCTGTGATGGGGTGTTAAGAGACAGAGGACATAGCTTTGCTCCATCAATTGCTAGTAAGGAGTGAACGCATAGACTTTCATATCCTCAGAGGCTGCCATGCCAAGGTTCAGGTCAAGATGATGTAGACAATTATAATTTGGTGAGAGGCAAAAGCTCTTGTCTAGGAGTCTGGAGACTTGGGCTTACATCCTTGAATACCATTGCTGAATCATGCTCACTTTTAACCACCCTTATGTGTTCTGAAAATTGGTGTCTGTTTCCTCCTCTGTAAAATGGGTAGAGTATGTTTACATGAGTAAATTTTCGGGGGTGTAGTGTGGAGAAGAACAGTTAGCTTATCCTATCTAATTGGATTCATGAGAGGATCATTCCAGACAGAAATAAAATATGTGCACAAGTTAAAATATTCACAGTGACTGTATCTTCATCTCACCCCAGGGGAGTATTGAGTCTTGTTCCTGTCTGTAGGAGTCAGTTGTTTTGATGGGCGCTTGGAATCTTCTCAATTCTCACCCCATTATTGTTCAGTTATGGACCCTCAAATGTAGACTAGGAAAGGTGACACATTATGCCATTGTTGTCTACCAAAACCCTGGTTAAAATAATCTCATCTGTCTAGATTGTGAGTCACTGAGCAGGACTCTGAATGGGCCGTAGCATGGCTCCTTTTTATGATGGGGAAGATGGCTGGGGAAGTCTGGAGGAGACCACAGGGCCAGTCAAGAGGCCTCCCCACTGCAAGGGAGAAAGGTGGGAGAAGGAAATCCAATGGAAGGTCACTAGTGGGTATTTGTTGTTTTTATTGGCTCATCAGCTATAGCACCTTGATTTTATTTTGGAGAACTACTCTTCTCTCTTTGTGAATGTTTTTTTTTAAGATTCCCAGTTAAGTATCCCTTCAGATGAAAGGATAAAGTTATTATATAGCTGTCTTTCAGAAATTGGCTCCTGAGTGGAGCAACACAAGACCTAAAGTAGTTGCAGTCCATCCATCTCAATGGTGATGCCCTGAAGAGATTGTTCGGTAGCTCCTGCTACCTAGATACGCAGAGATGCCCTGATTCCTGGCCATCCTGATCCTGGGTCTGCAGCTTTTCTTGCTGTCTTCCAGTGAATTTACTTTTTGTCTCTTTTTCCCCTCTTTTCCTACCTTAACTAGATTTGGTGTTTGCTTGCAACCAAGAATTCTAACATAAATGCACTAAAAAAACCTTGTTTAATATCATGATTTAATCTTTCTCCCTCTGTAGCAGCAGAGAGAAATTTAAGATGCATTACTAAATGCCCTATCTGAAGGAACTTGTGTCTTTAATACTTCAGTTGGAACTTTGCAGGCCTGTCTCTGATCAAACTCTGCAAGGAATTAAGCGGCTTTTATGGCCTTCTTTAAAATGTGTCCTAGACAGCTTAGATTTTACTAGGGAAAAAAAGGGAATGGGTTGGTTGGTTTCTTTATTGCTTCCTTTGTCTCCATGGTCCATTGTTTAACTTCATGCTGTAGTCTATATTCTCCAAGAGGAAGGAAAACATTTTATTTCCCCATTTCAAAAGTGATGCATGCCTATGATAGAAAATACCAAGAGACAAAACAATGAAAACAAAACCACCCATAATCACCAGATAATTACCTCTTAACATTTTCCTGTACTTACAGTCTTTAATATGTAATATATATAAAGTATATGATGTATATAAAGTAAACATATGTAATGTTTACAAATGGGATCGTATTGTTTTATAAACTTAAAATTACTTAATATTTGGCAATTTTTGCATGTCATTAAATTATTTTCAGTGTGATTTTTAATAGTTGCATAGCAGTCTTGCTGTATTAGTTACTACTCACATTTAGTAAATCTAAAATTTTGCATTCTTTTTATGAGCACTCATAAAAATTGATTAGTTTTCTGTTCTGAAATTGGTGGAAATATTGCCCATTGCTATCCACAGCCCACACTGATGTCCAGCATATATTACTAATCTCTTTGCTGTAGAACGACCAGTGTTAAATGAAGTAGGTGTTTTTTTTGTTTTGTTTTGTTTTTTTGTGATTCAGGTTATAAGCTTTGCACAGAACTTGTCATGCTGGAAAAGTTACAGAAAAAGTGAAATGACCTTCAGTCCAGCAGGCCTTCTGCAACTTCTATCTTTGATAACAGTCTGCCCTAAGAGAGAGTTCATGTATAAGCCTTTTGTTATCAATACTCTTTAATCTCATACTTGTACCAAGCCCACAAAGGTATGCTAATGAGAGCTCTAACACTCCTGGACTTGACTGAAAATTTTTCTCAGTAGGTTTCAGAAAGTGCTGAGAGGTGTAAGCCCAGCAACGTGCAAGGGGAAAGGGGACAGGATTCTGGATGGCCATTTGCTTCACTGGGATGCAAAACCTCTTTTGAGTACTAGAATCAGGTAAGGACAGCTATGTTTTCTTGGGGAAGGAGGGAAGGAGGGCTCTTGAATTATCCTATTGTCTCAGAGATCTTGAAGAGACCCTAAAGCTTCAATTTATCTCATAGCTTTGGAACCCTCTTTTGCCAAATTGTTACCTTTTACTCTCTCCTTGAAAAACAGGGACCCCGTTATGTGAAGATGTGGCAAACGGCTTGCTATTGTGCCATGAGAGCCTCATTACTGAGTTTTCAGGATTATTACAGATTAAGTGTGAACCATTATAAAATCTAGAATCCTTTAAGATATAATTATTGGCTTAGCTCTACCAAGGAGTGTTTCATTCTAAAGGCAGGGAAGGCATCTGCTTTAACATTCAAATTCAGATTTTAATCACCAATGAGAAATAAATAGTGCTAACCCAAGTTTTAAGTTCCTTAAAGGTGGTGGTCAAGTTAGCTAAAGTGGTTCAAAAAGAATGTTACTGTGTTGGCAACAATTCTGGCAGCTAAACAGAATGATGAAACACATGAGGTAGATCATTCAAGTCCACGTAATAGGTGGAAACACTAATGTTAAATCAAGTGCCATTGTTGAGTGGCATAAAATATCATCAGCTCACCAACGCAAAACTAGAAACAAAAAAGAAGTATTATTTTGTACCCTCTCTGTTTGATACACAGGCTTCTAACACATGACCACATTTACATACACAATCTGCCTGTCCATGCTCTGGGGTTGGGAGGTCCAGCTGTCAGTCATCTTGGCTAGTAGGAAGGCTTAGAGAACCAAAGCCCTGAGCAAAAACTAGAGATACTGGGTTTGAAGTTTGCTGGTGAAACAGCTGCTAATGAGTAGTAATTATCTGTAGATCCTTAGAGTTCAGAGGCATGTCTTAGATGTGTTTCCTGACTCCTGGAAACTGACAATAGAAGTTGATCATAAGTCACAGATCTGACTTGTTTTGCTCCACATTTGAAGTTGTCCCTGCTGCTGGTGGTTAAGGGCATTATGGTGGTGATAAGTGGATGAGGAAAGCTTCCCAATAACCAGAAAATTTGGGAAGATGTTCCAGTCTCTTTGCCCACTCCCAGTTCAGCCTACCCTCTGAAGTGTCTGCTGTTAGACTGATCTTTCACCTCTAGCCCAGGAATTGCAAAATCAAATGCTTGCACAGACCAGGTAGTAACTTAGATAAATAAGGCCTGCTGGGTAGAGATTGGCAGGTTGAAGAATATATCCCCCATCTAAAGAGAACAACAGCACTGAGTTTTAGGAAACTCTTGGCACACGGGAATGCTGGCTCAGTGTCATCATATTTTACGAATTATTTTAGGAGATAATTTGAAATTTCAGGATTGTAAATGTAAACTCTTTATAAACTCTGAATGCTATTTTTTTATATCTTGTTACCTAAGTCAAATTGAATAAAAAATTGACTGTACTAAATACATCTACATTGTTGCCATTTATTAACTCTTGGGGGTAGCAGCATCTTAGCCACAAATCCCCTATTTTGGGGGCAAATCCTGGGATTCCAATACCATTTCACCTCTCAGGCTTCCTAAAGCACAGGTTAAGAAAATGGGCTCTGAAGGTCCCACCTGTGATTCCAATCATCCTTTAACACTAGCCTCCTGTAAATTCCCTTAAAGGACAGGGAAGAGCACAGACTCTTTGCTACTTTGGAATCTATTAAAAAATGCTACCAGTTTGAGCATTTATTGAACAAAAGAAGTACTGTTGCTTCATCTCATCTTATTTTTATAAGAAATTTATGAGATAGGTTTTATAAGAACTTTGAGATAAGATGATCATAATCATATTCCTATTTATAGATGGTGAAGCTGATGTTCAGTATTGGGGGAGGATTTCCCAAAGTCATCCAGTAAGTGGCAGAAATGAAATTTGACTGCTGGAGTCAGATTTCAAAACTAAATTTTTAACCACCATATTATATTTCTTTCTATTACATTATATGGGGTTTTAACTTGTATAGTTCCTCTGAGTAATGATTAATTCTCCCTCCCTTAAAACATCTTAAGGAATCTGTAATGACATTTGATACTTTTGTAGAACATAGGAACATTTTAAATTCTCATCCTTTGATACAGGGTTTGCAAAGTGTTTGGGATCCTTCTGATCACTGAAGGGGGATGTTTTTTGTAATGCCTGCCTTCAGACCAGAGGTACTAATTCCCTTTTCCATGCCCATTTCTCACCAGATAGTAATTGAAAGTTAAAACATAGAGTGTAAAGGCCAAAGTTACGGGTTTCACCTCCAGGTGAACAAGATAATTCTACTAAGTCCATGACCACAGAGTACTGTCCTAACCCCAGCCAGCCTTCTCCCAAATACAAGAAGTATGCGTGCATCAGTCATCCTTGTTAACAGAGGCACTCTCAGCCCAGACCCATGTACAGATCCATAAACAGCATCATCGCCATAAATGAAAGCAGTGTGATATGGCTGAGGAATGCAAATAGATTTTAGCTCAGTTGAGCTCAGTGGCCAATGCTAAATCATGAATGGTTGCTGCCAGGAGGAGTGTTGTGTTGAGAAAGATTTGGAAACCACATTCGAGCTTTTCAAAAAGAATGCTGTAATTGATTGGTCTTGTCTGCCATGGGCTTGGTCTATGGAATGAGTGGTAAGTGCTCTGTACTTGTCGTTCTTGGTATAGTCTATTAATATGAAAGAGCTAAGATATCTTAACCTCGGTTGGCTTAAAGCATTTGCATTTTAATTTGTGATTTCTTCCTCTTCAGTATTTCTTCTTCCATCTCTGCTGTACCTGAGAAGAAATGGCCAAACGCACCTTCTCTAACTTGGAGACATTCCTGATTTTCCTCCTTGTAATGATGAGTGCCATCACAGTGGCCCTTCTCAGCCTCTTGTTTATCACCAGTGGGACCATTGAAAACCACAAAGGCAAGTGTCATGGGCTCTCTTAGATGCAATTTTTAGGCCTGTATGAAACTTCTTGATTACTGTGGACACCAAAGAGAAAAACAGTGTCTGCTGATAGTTCTACGTGTACTTAAGCAGCCTGGAATAGCCGTCTCCCTTTGCATTAATTGCCCATTCTGCATTGATAGCAATTTTTATCAAGTTTACCTTTGTCCCCAATAGCCAGCTGACAGGCATTCTGACATGTACTTGTTTGCCATTAGTTTTTCCATTGATCTAAGCACAGCTCAAGATTCGTCAAGGTCTAGTAATGGCAGCTTTTACCATGAGCCTCTAATCTTTCAATTTGCCTCCTTGTAGACATCATTTTCTCCTGGGGGCAAAAGGAGAATGAAAGACTCACTGAATGAATGTCAATTAGTCTGTGAAGAGCTTTAGAGAAAGGGGTCTCAAACGTAAATCCTTACAAGGGCTAATCAAGTTTTGCAGATGAGGTGGAGTGAGGAGGTGGACCAAGGAGGAGACAGGTGCAATTCTTGTGAAGAAGGCCTACAGCCTCTCCCAGGTGGCAGCTGTTTGTTGTAGAGAGAACACATGATCTCAGATCTCCTGAGTTTTCCAGAGAACCTGGAAATTGGAATTTTTAGATATCTCATGATTTTTTAAAATGTTGGAAACAAAGTTTTTGAGAACAACGTAGGCTACATTTACACAAAGATTGGCAGTGGGTCTTGGTGGAGCCTCTGTTCCAGTCAGTGTTAGGTTACATAACTGTTAAATGAGTAGAGAAGACTGGTAAAGATTGAAGCTCTGACCAAAGTAAAGACAGGGCTGGCCTTAGGCCAAATGGAGAAGATGATATTTTCTACCTCAGTTTTCCCTTTTGTAGCCTGTCTCTTTTCCTGCACATTCTCTACTATGTCCCAGGGCTTTGAATTCCTGGCAAACACAGAGGATCAGAGATCCTCTGATCCAGCAGTAGGCACAGCAGGGTCATAGACTGATAGAAGTGAAAGGATCATTAAGAATTATTCAGTTTTGGCTGGGCCCGGTGGCTCACACCTATAATCCCAGCACTTTGGGGGACCAAGGTAGGCAGATCACCTGAGGTCAAGAGTTTGAGACCAGCCTGGCCAACGTGGCAAAACCCTGTCTCTGCTAAAAATTAAAAAAAAAAAAAATAGCTGTTTGTGGTGGTGCACGCCTGTAATCCCAGCTACTCGGGAGGCTGAGGCAAGGCAGGAGAATCGCTTGAACCCAGGGGTCAGAGGTTGCAGTGAGCTGAGATCACGCCACTGCACTCCAGTCTGGGTGACAGAGTGAGACTCCATTTAAAAAAAAAAAAGAAAAATAATTATTCAGTTTTAGCTCTTAAAATTAGGAAATCAGGAGGCTGAGACTCAGGGAGGTTATTATTAATTACAGCAACTATTCTTATGGCAGTAGTTACTGTTTATTAAATGGTTTCTATGTTGAGCACTATAGTGAGGATTCTAGAATATTTTCTCATCTAATTCTCACAAAAATCCTATAAGGGTGGATGCTAGTCCTACTGTTTACATTAGTTTCATTTTACGCTTGGGGAAACGGAGACCCTGAGATTGTAAATAACTTACCCTTGGCTATGTGTTAGGTTTGGCTTTAGTTGGCATGACATTCCTATGCTGGTAGCAGTGAAGCAATAGCGAAGGTGCCTGCTCCACTCCTTGCAATATTTGATGTCTTCAAGAAAATCTCGGCTTGGGAATGAGAAGACATGGATGCTAACTCCACCTAGAATTTGGTCGAAAGAGCATCAGATCCTGAGTTTGAGGATCTGGATTGCATACCAGATTCATCACATGCTCTCCATTAACTATTGGTTAAGTCACTTTTCTGACTTTCAGTTTTCTCATCTGCAAAACTGAGGAGATTATGTTAGGTGATCTCTAAGTTTTTTGAGCTCTGAATTTCCAGGATTTCAGAAAGAATCAGCTATAAATCTCTTGCCTAAGTACTTTCTGACTACAAATGCCTTGTGACACTGATATTTGATGCCTTGGCAACTCCTGACTATTGTCTGAGGAAGGGAAATAAACAAAATGATGAATATATAACATGTCTAAATAGGTAAAGAAAATCAAAGCTACATAGTAGCCATTGTTCTAAGTTTATAATATTAGTGAACATAGTTATTGTTCAAAACAGCCCCAGGAAGCAGGATATTATTATAATCTCCATTTTATAGCTGAGAACATTGGGGTGAAATAGGCTAAGTGATTTGCTCACTTAGTAAGTGGTAGATTCAGGTTTCAAACCCAGGCAGTTTGTTTCTGCATCTGTCTTCTTACAAAAATCCTATATGTCATTCTGCTTCCCTTGATATTTGTATGTGTGTGTATAATAAATATATATGCATACATTAATATAGAATATATGTGTATAAATACATACACATAAAGATATGAATATATAAATACTAGAATAATTAAGATGAAATTATATCAACATGTATACAGTGATCTAGGTTGCATTAAAAATAAGTCTTCAGAAGGTCAAAGAGGATCAGAGCCAAGGTAGAGCCAGTGGGGTGGCATCCTGCAGGTGAGGAGTTGAGTCGGATCTAGCTGTGATGGAAATGGACTAACTCTGAAGCAGGTGGTGGAGTTTGGTAGATGGAGAGGAAAGGAGTGAGGAGTCTGGATAGAAAAAATGGAAGAAACCAATCCCCAGATATTGGATTTAGTAAACCTGGCACCTGTTTAGTTTAGCTGGAAAAGAAGAGCAGGGTGTTGAGTGAAGGCAGTGAGTTTGACAAGGAATGGCTCGTGATGAGGAGTTGAAGGATATTTGACAGAGGCCTTGATTGTTAGTCTGAAATATTTCTCATCCTGTTTAGGATTATGATTTTTAAACAGGTTCTTGAGCTGTTCCTGTCTATATATTTTTATGTATAAGAAAATATATAAAGAGTTTTCCTTATGAACCTGAGCCTATATATTGTGTTCTAATTGATGTTGACAAATAAGAGGGCTGAAATGTTGTTTCTCAAATCTCTTATTCTGTTTTAGATTTAGGAGGCCATTTTTTTTCAACCACCCAAAGCCCTCCAGCCACCCAGGGCTCCACAGCTGCCCAACGCTCCACAGCCACCCAGCATTCCACAGCCACCCAGAGCTCCACAGCCACTCAAACTTCTCCAGTGCCTTTAACCCCAGAGTCTCCTCTATTTCAGAACTTCAGTGGCTACCATATTGGTGTTGGACGAGCTGACTGCACAGGACAAGTAGCAGATATCAATTTGGCAAGTAGACAATGGGCTCCTTAAGGAGACTGTGAAACAAGTAATTTTATTATTTTACAACCTGCATTCATTTCTGATTATTACAACATCATCATTATCTTCTTTTAGCTTTTTAATTGACCTTGCTGCTGTCTAGCACTATGAATTTCATACTAGAAGGAAGAGGAAAACTTTTATTCAATCACAACTCCCCTGTAAAATCCATTGGCCTTTTTTTTTCATGAGCAGAAGTGGCAGAGATGGCAAACTCAAATACTACAGGGGGTGAGCAGGCACCTTAAATGACATCACCAGGCCAGTGTAACATAAGAAATGTCTAGTGAATGCTCAGTTTGGGGGTGGGAGGTAGTAGGAAATGGTGGGAACTTTGAGGAAAAAAAAAGCACAAATAAAGTACATGAATCTAGCTGATTGTTGCCATGTAAGAAATGGGGGCTCAGGGCTGCCCTATCTTGCAGTTTTTTAAAAGAAGCCCCCAAATCCCCAGATTAAAGAGTTGAAGATTCAAATCTCTTACTTAAAAAATAAAGGCAACTCTAGCTAAAACTGGAAACCTAGGTTGGACTAATACTGTGAAAGCAAATAAAACTTCTATGTGTCAGGTATGGCCCTATTGACTGCTAGTCTTGGCTATGTGATGGAAATACCCATTTATGTCAGTGCTTCACTAGGAAACCAGAGCATGAAGTTGTCTGATGGGATTCACTCCCTCCCTCCAAGTAATCTTTACTTTCCAGATATGATTCTTGACTGTGTGTTCTGAAAAGTGATCCTGGAATGTGAACCCTAAATAAACACTCCCAGGAGGGGTAATGCAAACAGTAGAGGGGGCATTCTAAAGACCTGGGTGTAGTTTTATGGGTAAATTTTATGACATGGTGAGAGAAGTGGCTTGGGATAGGTGTATGTGATCTGATTTGGTTTAAGGAGTTGTAGAGTCCTGATAAGTCAGGAGTCCCAGGGTTGGGGAGAACAATTGTTCTGAGAGATGGCTAATCATGGACAGCCTGCTGCCACAACATCTTGTTCCCAAATACCTCACTCTGCATGTAGCCCCAGCAGCACAACGTCGTTCTGCATATGTCCCGCTCCAGCGTGACCCTATAAAATTTCCCTCCAGCTCCTGCTTCTTTGCAGACAGCCCCTTCTCTGCTGTGCTGCCTGTTGAGCCCTTGCAACATATTTTCATACTTTGCCTAATAAATCTGCCTTTCTTTACCTATGATTGTCTTGGTAAATTTCTTTACCACCCCATGTCATGGGCAGTAAAGGAATTTACCAGCCTGTTGCACCCACGACAGGAATGATACTATGGTAAAAGCCAGGGCGAGGTACCCTCTGTGAAGAATACTTAATTATAAATATACCACTTTCTTCAGAAAACAAAATCATACACTAAACAACAAACATGGGAAAGCCTTCAACCTTTAAAATGTTCCTGGGCAATGTGGGATGGAGGTAGAGGAAATATTTTTTCCTGTAGTACCTTAGAAGGCAGGAGAAGAAGAGCCATTGCCAAAACCAGAAAGGCCAGAAAGATCTCTCGTGTTAGTGTTAGTAACAGAATTTCCAAAGCCTCACCAGCTCCCTCCTGCCCATAAGCCAGGGAACAGCTTCTGCCAACCTGATCGATTCTTTGCCTTTGCATTTTTCTACACAGAGGATTCAAGCCTCTTTTATGATATTTTTTGGCTTTCTTTGTTCCTTTTTCTTTTTAATTTTTGAAACATATATCCTCTCACTCAGAGCCACCATGTCATGTGGATGTTTTTCTTTGTTTTTCTGCAGTCGTCTATATTGTATGTTTGTGCCTGGTTTCTAGTAGCAGGGGAATGAGACAGAGCAGCTCTGATTGTCTCTTCCTCTTTAGATGGGCTATGGCAAATCCGGCCAGAATGCACAGGGCATCCTCACCAGGCTATACAGTCGTGCCTTCATCATGGCAGAACCTGATGGGTCCAATCGAACAGTGTTTGTCAGCATCGACATAGGCATGGTATCACAAAGGCTCAGGCTGGAGGTAAGTGATTTGAGAGGAGAAATGAATGAAGAAATGATATGGTTTAAGGAAAAGTGGGTGAATGTGACAGGAAATAATTCCTCTTGGTTTCTCATTCAGTGAAATTCTATTACCTTCAATATTATACGCTCTGGACAATATAGCAGATAATCTTACAAGGAAAATGATCTTCACTATTTCAGTCTAAGTTATCTTGGTCAAAATTTGCTTTCACTTCTGCTGATGACTCATCATCATTATTAATGCTAATGTTTTTGTTGAAAGCTTATAATGTGCCAGGTGACTTTTATATATATATTCCCTTATTTAATCCTCCTTGTTAGAAGTTGGGAGAGCACCCATTAATCACTAAGCACTTCTTCAAGTTCTCAGACAATTGAGAATACATGTGAGGAATCGGATGCGAATTAAAACGCAACATTGAAATGAGGTTGACCGTGAATTGGTAGTTATAGAAGCTGGGTAATAGGCACATAGGGATTCATTATAGCATTCTGATTATTTTTGTACAAATTTGAAATTGTCACATCCATACAAAAGGAGGAGGAGGAGACGGAGAGAGAGAGAGAGATAGAAAGCGAGCAAGCAACCAACCAAGCCAGTGAACGATAAACTTCCAGTTCTAACTTTCTAAGGCAATTTCTAAGCCCTGACCCAGTACTATTTTCTGCATGGAATCAGGTCACTAAGAGAGAATGTGTTCTGTTAATGTCTGCTAACATTCATGAATGTGAGAAAGAAGAGCGGCTGGAGCATTGACCAGAACAATGATCATAAATGTCCATCATGCAATGTCAGGTTCTACTAGTCTAACCTATTAAACACTTTCCTCCTGCTGTGTGAAGGGGCCAGTGAGAGGGATAATGAGATGGCCTAAAAGCATCACTTTAACATTGCTCCCTCTTGGGGAGGAGAGCGGAAGCCTCCCTCATCACATGTGGGAAGCATCCCCACATGAGGAAAAAGGGATTAAGTGTTTTCCCCACTTCTGCACTCACAAAACAGTGAGGTGGCTTTGTTGGTATTTCCATTTTCTGTATAAGAAAACTGAGTCTTAGAGAAGGTAGGTAACTTTCCAAATTTCACACAGTTAGCAAATGGTAGAGCTGGATTCTGAACACAGGTATGGTTAATCCCAGAGTCCACATTCTTTTTTTTAATTTTTTATTATACTTTAAGTTCTGGGGTACATGTGCAGAACGTGGAGTTTTGTTACATAGCTATACATGTGCCATGGTGGTTTGCTGGACCCATCAACCCGTCATCTACATTAGGTGTTTCTCCTAATGCTATCCCTCCCCTAGCCCTCCACCCACCGACAGGCCCCAGTGTGTGATGTTCTCCCTGTGTCCATGTGTTCTCATTGTTCAACTCCCACTTAAGAGTGAGAACATGTGGTGTTTGATTTTCTGTTCTTGTGTTAGTTTGCTGAGAATGATGGTTTCCAGCTTTATCCATGTCCCTGCGAAGGACATGAACTCACCCTTTTTTATGGCTGTATAGTATTCCATGGTGTATATGTGCCACATTTTCTTTATCTAGTCTATCATGGATGGACATTTGGGTTGGATCCAAGTCTTTGCTATTGTGAATAGTGCCACAATAAACATATGTGTGCAAGTGTCTTTATAGCAGATACATTCTTAAAAGTGACATTATTCTATACTCTTAGAAGGAAAAATGCATTGACCACTTGCTTTTTGTAAGGTACTTTGCTAGTGTCACTTCAGGGGACACACAACTAAATATGTCACAATTCATCTCCCTTATGAGGTCATTTTCTAGGTGGTGGATAGAAGGAAGGACTATGAAATATAGAGATACACAGAAATATACAGTTAGCTATAATTAACCAAAGGAAGGTACAGTGGGATAGTAATTGTCTATTACTGAGTAGGAAATTACCCCAAACTATAGTGGCTTAAAACAACAAACACTTATGATTTCACATGATCTATGGGTCAGGAATTCTGTCTTGGTTAGGTGGCTCTGGTTTAGGTTCTATGGCAATCAAGGTGATGGCAAAGGTTGAGTCATCTGAAAGCTTGACCCAGGCTTGAAGGTCCACTTCCAAGATGGTTTGTTCATGTGGCTGTTGGCCAAAGGCCTCAGTTCCTCACTCTTCCTATCCTTACGACACAGCAGCTAGATTCCCTCAGAGTGAGTGACCCAAGAGAATGAGCAAGGAGGAAGCTACAGTGCATTGTATGACCCAGGTTTAGAAGTTATACACCGTTACTTTCACCCTGTTCTATTCATCAAGCAAGTCACTAAGTCCAGCTCACACTCAGTGGTGAAAAAGTAAGCTTTACTTCTTGAAGGGCAAAATATCTGAGACTTTGTGGACATATGGTCTTTTAAGATCACCAATAGGGATTCAGGAATGCAAATTAGGAAAACATTTTCATGGTGGAAATGACACTTGAGTGAGCAGAATTTTAAATGGTTAGGATGGGAAGGCAGAGAAATCTGATGGAAGAAACAGAATGAACACAGAGAGGCACAAAGGAGGGATGTAGACTCTTTCATGAGGGAACAGAGGAGATCTATTAGGACATATGGAGGCATGTAGTTGGAGATGTATCTGGAAGATATGTTTATCATAATTGCAGAGGGCCTTGAGATGCCAGCTTGTTTTTAATTCTGTGGGTGATATGGACTCTGAGAAATCTTCTGAGTGGCGGAGTGATGTAAACACCATTTTGTTTTAGGATGATTAAGCAGGTAGGGATGTTTGATATGGATTGGAATAGAGTGGAACTAGAAGTGAGGACAAAAATTAGCAGATTCTTTAAAGAGATACTGAGGCTTTATTGGTGAGGGTCCAGTTAAGAAAACAGTAATCATCATACTAGGTATTTCAAACAGAGGGATTTCACCCAGGGGAGTTTTACAAGATGTTAAAAGGCTGAAGGAACAAGAAAGGGAAGCTGGAGTTGCTGGAAGGGTTTTTATTTTTTGTAACTTTGCCTAACAATTTCCCCCTTTATCACGTGAGACTGGCACAAAGATCTTAAACCAATGTGATGGCAGTGAGACTACGTGGTGGTGGGATAGGAAATTAAATGTGAGTCAGCCGGGTGTGGTGGCTCACGTCTGTAATCCCAGCACTTTGGGAAGCTGAGGCAGGTGGATCACTTGAGGTCAGGAGTTCGAGACCAACCTGGCAAACATGGTGAAACCCTGTCTCTACTAAAAATACAAAAATCAGTTGCATGCTGGAAGGAGCCTGTAGTCCCAGCCACTTGGGAGACCAAGGCAGGAGAATGGCTTGAACCTGGGAGGTGGAGGTTTCAGTGAGCCAAGATCACTCCACTGCACTCCAGCATAGGTGACAGAGTGAGACTCTGACTCAAAAAAAAAAAAAAAAAAATTAAATGTGAGATTTGGAGATGAATAGACATAAAAGCCAGTACTTAACATAATATTCATGCTGAGTCTGGAACTCTTGTCAGTGCCTTGTATGGATTAATGTACTTATTCCTCCAAACGACTCTATGAGGGAGGTATTATTATTATGTCATTTGACAGATTGAGAAACCAAGTTTGCAGAGGGCCAAGTAACTTATCCAAGGTTGCACAGCTAGGAACTGTCAGAGTTGGGATTCAAACTTAAGTGTTTTGGTGTCAGAATTCATGCTCATTTCTACTATACTATACTGCTTTTCTGAAAAATGAGATGGCTCTAATTGGGAAATAGTACGGTCATTAGCAGAAATAAAAGAACCAAAAGGTAGACTTTGGCGGGTAGAGTGGGGAGGAGTTTAATGTGTTGTTTTGTAGGTGTTATCAAGTCAATAGTGGGCACCATTTTTCTATCTCTTCCTATTTTTACATCTCCGTGCAATCTGAGACCCAGTGGGAAGGCTGTTAAATGAACCCACTTAGTTTTCCCAAATTAACCCAAAGGAAGGTGTGAAAAATAAATGTAGCTAAATAAGTGTCATTAATATTATTTATAACACCTGCTTCTATGTAGGTTCTCAGTGTCAGCTTTAAGATAGGTGAAATTTCCAGCACAGAATGAAGATTATGGAAGATCTCTGTGCAGTGAGGCATGACAGAAAAACAGAAGGACTTTCTAGGTTTTTCTGTGTCATGCTCCCAAGAGTGTCAGTGAGACGAAATGGAATAGAAACTGAAGACAGAAGTGAGCGGTAGACATAAATGTAGCTGCTTTGTCCTGTGTTAAAATACCCTCCTTTCATGAACTGGGAAACACGTTATTTTTAATGGTTATCTTCCTGGCATTGTTATATGACTAGGTTTTATGTATTTCTTTTTTCTCCCCGCTAGAAGTCCCATATGTCTGGCTTCATATCAGAGACTGTAGTTTAAAATAAAATTCCTGTGTACCGTTTGTAGTCTTTCTTGTTTTAAAATTCAAGATTCATAATTTCTGTCTTCTTAAGGGCTTGATTCTTGAGTAGACATGAAGAAATGCATTTAATTCTAAAGCCCTAATGTCACAGTTCTTTAGGAATAAATAGGATGGGGTTAGGGAGCTTTAAAGTTGACTCGTGGCTCTTTTTCTCTACTACCTTCCTGTCTTAGCTGCAAATTGTTAAGAACATCAGCTTCTGACTTTAGTTCAGCTTTCATGATGTCCCTTCATTGATCATTTTCTCTTCTCTTTATACATTTCTTCTTCATGAGTGTGGTAGTTACATTATGGAATAATATGCGAGAGTGGTGGGGGATTGGGGCTGGAGTTAGGACCAAAGAGAAGGAATACAGAAGGATGTTAGTCTTGTTATATTATACTTCCATTCTGTATTTGTCTTGCATCATAGAATTGCTTATGTGGACATGGTAACCAAACAATCAGTCTTTGGGACAAGGAGAGGTTAATGAGGCAAGGTGGTTATGACTGGAATGAGAATGGTGTAGATCTTCACCTGCAATAGAAGAGGTTGAATGATTATCTTCATGTATATCAAGTACATAGCATAGAAGCTGCTACTCCCCACTTACCAGCAGTGAGCTGGAACTAGCTTGCACAAGCTCATAAGAACCAATTTGTAAATATTCAGAAACATTGTGAGCTGGCTGTTAAGCTTTTGGTAGCTTGAAATTGATCATGATGAGGAGTTTTTACATCACAGAAATTGGTGAACAATACAAATGAGGGCTTTTAATTTTATTGTATGTTCCAGAGAGACAGCTTATCAGAGTGTCTATGCCATACTCAAGGTAAACATTGCTAACAATTGCTTTGGGTTTGACACTTTTGCTGGATTTTTTTTTCTTTGATTAATGTTTGTGTGTACATGGTACATATAGTTATGGGGTACATGAGATGTTTTGATACAGGCATGCAATGCCTAATAGTTACATCATGGAAAATGGGGTACCCATCCCTTCAAGCATTTATCCTTTGTGTTACATACTGCTGGGTCATTTTTTAATTATCTTTCACAAAAAAGACACAATGATACCAAACTTTAGATTGCAGCTTATTAAAGCATAATCAGCAACAAATACTCAGCAACATCACCAGTATTCTGTCTGGTGTTTTCTTGATGTGTATGCACCATATGAAGACATTAGTCATGCATTTGGATGTTCATTGATCAACTCATTCACTAAACATTTACTGAGTCTCTTTGTATTAGTTGTCTATTGCTGTACAACAAATCGCCTAAAAATTTAGTGGCTTAAAACAACAATAATAAATGTTGTTCAAGGCTTCTGTGTGTCAGGATTCCCAGAGTGGCTTGGTTAGACGATTCTGACTTGTTTTAGAACAAGTCATATGTAATCACTTCTGTGTCATGATGTGGCACTCAGATGCTGGCTAGGGCCGCAGTTTTCTGATGGCTTGACCAAGGTGGAAGAAATTACTTCTAAGGTTGCTCACTCAGATGGCTAGCAAGTTAGTGCTGACAGGATGCTTCCTATCCACTTAGGCTTCTCCACAGGATTATTAGGGTGTCCTTGCATCACAGTGGATGGCATCCTCTAGACCAACAAGTCTAAGAGTTCGTTTCAAGGCACACTGAATTCTTCATTTGGGAAATGAGGTACTAGAGTAGCTTAAAACCTTTGCAGTTTCTGCTCACTATGCCTGAGTTGCTTTTCCCCCAGATATTGCACAGCCGACTTGCTTTCTTCATCTCAGCCTCTGCTAAAAGAGAGCCCCTCATTAGAAGATCTTTCCTCACTAACACCCACTACTTTCTTTTTCCTTATGCAACAATGTTTTTCTTCATAGCATCTATCACTCTATGATATAATATTTAATATTTATTTGCTTGCTTACTGTCTTTGTCTTTCATTAGAAAAAAAATATCTTCAAGACAAGAACCTCATATATTCTTTTGCTTAGAGCACCTGTTGAATGATGAATGAATAAGAGTACTGGTTCTCTAGTTAGACGAGGGTCTGGAGTCTGGCTCTGCTACTTATTAGATCAACAGGCAAATTATTTAACTTTTGTATAATTCAATGTTCTCAGCTAAAAATGGGCTTAACAATACTTGTGTAGCTCTTGAAATTGTAATAAAGATTTTTAAATACATAATATATATAACATACCTAGCATTGTGTTTGCTTATAGTAAGAATCTATAAAATGTTAGGTATTGTTATTATTATTTTGTTGTTATTACTATGATAATATCCTCAAACATACAGTGAGGGGCCATTTGAAAGAGGTGTTAATATAGTTTGTCTGTGTCTCCGCCCAAATCTCATCTTGAGTTTTAGTTACCATAATCCCCATGTGTCGTGGGAGGGACCCCATGGGAGGTAATTGAATCATGAGGGTGGGTACCCCCATGCTGCTGTTCTCATGATAGTGAGTTCTCACAAGATCTGATGGTTTTATAAGGGGCTTTCCCCCCTTTCACTCTGCACTTCTCCCTCCTGCCATCATGTGAAGGAGGACATATTTGCTTCCCCTTCTGCCATGATTATAAGTTTCCTGAGGCCTCCCCAGTCATGCTGAACTGTGAGTCAATTAAACCTCTTTCCATTATAAATTACTCAGTCTTAGGTATGTCTTTATTAGCAGCATGAGAATGGACTAATACAGATGTTATTGGTATGGATCAGTGATTGAACTCATCAAAGCCTTTTCTCATGTTGAGCTCCTATGTTATCCCTCTTCTTAGTTCAATTACTTTTTTTCTTGAAGGTCCTGAACAGACTGCAGAGTAAATATGGCTCCCTGTACAGAAGAGATAATGTCATCCTGAGTGGCACTCACACTCATTCAGGTCCTGCAGGATATTTCCAGTATACCGTGTTTGTAATTGCCAGTGAAGGATTTAGCAATCAAACTTTTCAGCACATGGTCACTGGTATCTTGAAGGTAGGCAAAGAGCCCCAGAGGCAGCTGTTCTTTACCATTGCTTACAGGTATTTTAGGAGTGATTGGATGTGATATAAAGAATCCCTATAGGATTTGGGTCTGAGCATAGTATTAGCATGTACAATTCTTTCTCCTCCCTGACTCTATCTTAGCTTCTTGTTCTGAGCTATGGGCTGTTAGGGATGAGGCATGGATGATTGGAAAAGAAGGCTTCTATGGGACTAAGCCCAATGTAGTTATTTAAACAGACAGAAAACATTTTGGTTTGGGGTTCTTTATAGAGGGCACTACATGGCCTGTTCTTTGCACAAAGTCACACAAAGAGAAACCCATGAAGGAGCCAAAAGTAATTACAAATAATTCTAAAATTTTAAAATATTTCCCAAAGTACAAAGAGAATCCAACTTATAAACACACATCCCAATTTTTCAAGTTCTCTAGTATAGATACAGACCTCCGTGGTGCTCCTGACAAATACCCTTAAACTCCTCTCCTGTTTCTGGTTTCAGTAGCTTATACTCCTCTCTTTTCTGTCTTTCAGCTTATTATTTTGTTGCATAGGATCCTTGCTAATGTTTTGCTTCATTTTATTGTATTCCAGGCTTATTCTCTATTTTTTCTTACAATGTCACCCCCAAAATTCAGAGATCCAGCTGGCATAGGCAGAAATTGCTTTACATTGATGTTTTGCAAACTGAGGCTTTCAATGTATTAAAGGCTTATGAAATCAATTTCATGGATTGCAAAAAACATTACATAAAAAATGCTAAAAAATAGATTGTAAGATATAGTGTATGACACACAGTCAGGGTATAGTTTGCTTTGTGGACTTTTGTTTTGGGATGCATATGTTGATGTGTATTAAGTTATGATGAAAAATGTATCTCTCACTGTAGTTCACTGTCAAAAAAGTTTGAACAACTCTGCCTTGGTGGTAGAATGGCAAGGGTAGGGAGGTGGAAACAGTTGCATGTTAGCAAAACTTGTATTAGTGTTGTAGGAGTCAAGTCTCCCATTTTGGCTATCTGAAGTGACAAACTGAACCTCATTTAGCAGTCCTGAGAGAGCAGGAGTTGAGACTTTTTGTGAGCTCAGGCATTAATCAGTACTGTGCTTCCGTATAACACGGCATTTCCCTTATCTCAACCTTGAAAGCCATTTCTGTTTACCTCCAGATTGTCAACAGCGATGTGGTTCTCCAGCTTTTATCCCGTAATGTGGACCCATTAGAGACAAAGGAAATTGTTCACAGGGCTCTTCTGTTTATATTGACTAAGTTATTGTCCCCACCAGGATTTCTAAGCTTATAACATCCCCCTCTTTTTTAACCTTCAGAGCATTGACATAGCACACACAAATATGAAACCAGGCAAAATCTTCATCAATAAAGGAAATGTGGATGGTGTGCAGATCAACAGAAGTCCGTATTCTTACCTTCAAAATCCGCAGTCAGAGAGAGCAAGGTGAGGAGGAATCGTCAAAATGAAATCGTTTCATTCCCTTTAGGGAACAGCAACAAAATCTAAGTACAGGGCTGTTACTTGATGAATATGGTGAGGTCCCAAGAGAGTATTACAGCTATGATATCTTAAAAACATCTGTGTAATCTAAAACAAGCAGAAACAAAAAGTGAATGTAGAAACAAACACCAATTTATTAATGTATCTTTCCACTTTGTTGATTATGGGAGCGAGTGTGGATGTTTGAAGGACTCTGGGCTTTGAAATCAGGAACAACTGTGGTCTCAGCTTAGTTTTATTGCTTTCTAGCAATGTGACCTTTAGTGATTTACTTATCTTAATTTATTGTCTCTCAGCTTCTTCATCAGTAAAATGAAGATAAAAATGTGCTCAATGCATATTTATTAAATTAATGAATAGCTCTTTTATTATGTGTTATCCAGAATAAATCATCTTAGTCCACAAGAGTGTGGCAAGACAGAGAAAATAAAAGGATAAAGAATATGGACAGAAGAGTAAGAAATAAACCCACATATTTGAATGGAAAAACTAAGGGAGAGGATTATTTTGCCTTTTTGTCTTTTTTTAAGTGATGAACCAGGTTTGTAACAGAAGAGAAGTGCTTGGTTACTGTAACACTGTAAAATAATACCACAGTTTCCACTTGACCACTTGACATTTAACATTTTTCTGCATATTTTTCAATAGCTTTCAAAGGAGATGATTTTTAGAAAATGTAATCTGATTTCCCTTGAGAAGACATAAAAGAACACTTAAGTTGCAGGTCTTGAATGCTTTTGATTTTGCAAATTCCCTGCTCTTTTAAAGAGATTTCATTAAAAATTGATATGAGTAGAAATTTCAAAGACAAATAAATCCCTTTTGTAAGAAATACATATATGTTATATAATATTGTATGTTATATAAAAATATGTGTATTTCAGCTCCAGTCGCTTGACCTAGTCCCCCAAACTTTGATCGCAATTGCATAGCCTTTCCTTAGCTGATAAATGAGGTACTGGATACAGTTCACAGAACTACTGCTTGTCAAGACATCTCACTTACTGAGAGGCATTTTTGTTTTTGTGTCAGCTGCTACTGTTCATCTTACATGAGGGTTAGGCTCTAACACAGAACTGACTGTGCTTTTCTGTTTTACTGACTAGGTATTCTTCAAATACAGACAAGGAAATGATAGTTTTGAAAATGGTAGATTTGAATGGAGATGACTTGGGCCTTATCAGGTACTGTATTTCCTTTTTAAAAATAATTCTGTCGGGTAGCTTTTCTTAATTAAAGAGAAGGGAAAAGAGACTAGAATAGTACCAGCACACACTGAGAATAAGTTGTGTGGTTAAGAGTCCAGGTTCTGAAGTCAGACACAACTGGGGTCCAGCCAAGGGCCTTGTACAGGGTTCTCAGTCTCTCAGGGCTTAGTTCTGCACTTACAAAACAGATTTAATACAGGGAAGATAAATGAGAGATCTTGGTGAAGAGCTTGGCACAGCATCTCGCATATGATACAAAAATTCAGTAAACATTAACACTTATTATGTTATCAAGATCTCACATGTGGAACTTCCATGATGGTATACAGTTATCTCCTAGTAAAATGAAAAAACAATCTAACCAACCAGGAAAGTGATTATGGCTTTGAGATTATTTACCTGTGTTTCCCTAAAAGGATTAAGTCCAATGCAGGACAATGGCAAGTAGGGATAAAATAGAACTGAGAACACCTAAAGGAAGCAAGTGAGGGAAAATTACAGGTGGGGCCAGCTTTTAGCACAATTATCTGGGAGTGACAGCATTTAGGAAAACACATGGATTTTGTTTTCTTGAAAATAAGGAATTTGCATTCATATGTGATTTTGGTTACTGCAACTGGCCTGACTCAGGAATTGACTGGGTGGGTAACATGGTTCCAGACTCTTTGACCTATGGACTTGCAAATGATGCAGACATGCCCTAGGGAAGTACCAGATAGTGCTGGGTGCTACAGTCAAATGGCTTGGGTTCACTCTGGGCTCTTGTCCTTATTAGCAATGTGACTTTAGACAAGTTCTGTGACTACCCTGTCTTCCTGTTTCTCATCCCTAAGCATTTTTGTGCATACCATAGGATAAAGTAAGTATTTAAAATGTTGATAATAATGATTAGAAAGATGACAAAGGGTCTGCCAAGTAGAATTATAAAATATCTAAGTAAAAGATGCTATGTGAATAAAACTTGCAGTAAAATTGACAAAGTGGTGAAGAAAAACATTAAAAACTATGATTCACAGTTCACACACCACAGTTGGCCCTAAAACTAGGTGGAGAACAACATGGTAATAAAAAGTTCAGGTCTTGAGGTAAGGTTGACTTGGCTTCAAGTCCCAGCCCTCTGCCACTTACTAACCCTGTGGCCTGGAGAAAGTAACTTAATTCACTTAGACCTTAACTATCCTATTTGAAAATGGGAATAGTAATACCCCATAGGGTTGTCTGAGGATTAAATGAGATAATGCATACAAAACTCTAGTTCTGTGCCTGACATAGAAAAAAGCTTAATCATTTTAGCTAAAAAGGAATAGAAAACATATTCTACCTCTTCTGAATAATTCCATTACCAGCATATTAGAATGCTTGAAATTCTTAGCATTTGAGTTCCTCTTTTGTGTTAAAAGTGAAGTCACTAAAAACTCCCTAATAAACTTTGGTATATGGGCTGACATAATGGACTTATTCTTCTACTACAATCAACTTATCTCTTGATTAGTTTCCCCTTAGCATTTAACTCAGCACACTTTCTAAATGTCAGGCATGTAACTGTGTGAGTGGGGTATGTTATGATGAATAAGGCAAGTTTTCTATCTTTAAGGGTCTCACAAGCTGGTGGGGTGATTGGGGCAAGAGACAGAGACAAATATATAGACAAGTAACCATAACATGAATCAGATGACCAGCAGTGCTATCCCATGGGCATAAATAATGCTGTGGGAGTTTGGAGGAGGTAGCCCTGAGTTTTTCCTGAGAGCACTGTGGAAGGCTTCCAAGAGAAAATGACATTTGAGTTGGACCTTCAAGGAGTCATGGGATTTCTCACGGAGTCATGAAAAATACAGAGCCATAAGGCCAGAGTGTGGGTGAGGTCAGGGCATTGGTAAAAGGTGGACTGGAAAGGTAAAACAGGTCCAGATTCTAGAGCACTTTAGTGGGGCATTCAATTACAAGAAGGGCAGGATAACAGCATACATCTCTGCTAGTTACACTGAGTATCCCAAATTTGTTGGGACAAGGAGATAGAGTCGCCCTTATAGTTTCTATTTTACTCTTGGCTGAAGGACCAAGACCATTTACAATTCCCTTTTAGTAGTTTTTGAACCTTTTTTTTTTTTTTTTTCCTGAGACAAGCTTTTGCTCTGCTGCCTAGGCTGGAGAGCAATGGCGTGATCATAGCTCACTGCTGCCTCAAATTCCTAGGCTCAAGTGATCCTCCTGCCTCAGCCTCCTTAGTAACTGGGACTACAGGTGCTCACCACCACACCTGGCTATTTTTTAAAATTTTTTGTAGAAATGGGGTCTTGCTTGTTGCCCAGACTGATCTCAAACTCCTGGTCTCAAGTGATCCTCCACCTCGGCCTTCCAAAGTGCTTGGATTACAGGTGTGAGCTACTGCACCTGGCCAGTTTTTGAATCATTTAATAACTGGAACAGAAAATTCAAAAATACTATTATTTTGGCCAGATGTTCTTTGCTTCCATACATGCAATTGTATCATGTATCTGGAAGTCTTTCGGTCAACTGTCAAGGTTATAGCAAAGCTTTTCCATCTGTTGTGCTTAACATCCTGCAATAACTTTCCATTGTTTCTGAGCTGCCGTATGTTATCTTTGATGTAATTGCTCCTGCAATTGCCTCTTGTTGCATAGTGTAATTGCTCTTTGAATACGTTAAAAATGATCCAAAATATAAAGTCAAATGTGGGCTGCTAAGTAACTCACCCACCATATGTAGATGCCTGCTGTTAGACAGAATCCCAAGGTGTGAGGAGTTTGGAAGCACAGCAACTCAGAATCACAGAGCATGGAGATGACCTAGTTTAACCTTCAGCAGAGGAACAAGGGCCTAGAAAGGTGATGTGACCTGCCCAGCATCACAGCCAAGACTATCTTCTTCACAATGAAAACCATATTTGAGTTCATAATTCATTCCTTCTTACTCTCATTTTTGTTTTCAGTTTTTCATTCAGCAAGTCTGCACTAGGGACCTACTATGAGCCACGCAATACTTCCTTGGAATGATGTATTCCCTGGCCTTGAAATAAGGAATCTAGTACCCATGTTTGTGCTACTGGAATGAATCCATTAAACTCTCTGAGACTCAGTTGCCGTATTTTCAAATGTGGCTATCATATCTTCTCTCCACACAGAGATTATTATGGGATACACTGATGAACAAATATAGATGGAGTTGCTGCCCTTATAGGACTTCAGTCTACTGAGGGAGACAGAAGGCATACAGATAGGCATACAATACATGTAAAATTATAATTGGGCTCAGTGCTAAGAAAGGCAGGTGTGTAGAACTTTCTTAAAGGAATTTGACCTTGTCAGAGAGATTGGGAAAGGTTTCCCTGAGGAAGTGACAGCAATGGGAGCTGGAAACTGGAGTAGGAATTAACTGGCAAAATGGGGGGATTGGAAAAGAACATTTAACACAAATGGGGAAGCATTTGAAGAACTGGTAAAAGGTGAGTGTGGCTGGAGTGCAGAGGTCAACAGGGCAGGGTGTTGCAAGACAAAGTAAGAAATAGAGATTAGATGGCATGACAAAGAATTTGTTTTTCTATACCAAGAGGAATGAAAACTCATTAAAGTGTTTCAAACTTGGGTTGGGAGTTGGGGCTGTCGAAGGATTGGGAAGAGTGTAGACTTGAGGAATGAAATAAAATTATGTTCCTGAAACTATTCCATGAACCATTAAGCCCTCTACAATTGTGAAGCCACCATTTGCTCTAGTTGCTCTATGTCAGAAAAATCTGTTAGAAAATTCTATGTCAGAAAAATATTGCTATCTTTGTGCCTTTTTCCCCTTACATGAAAGCATTCAATGTTTTTTTTTCTCCAGACATGGAGAACATGTTGTGGATGTTCTGAATTGTGAATTAAAATATAAGCTGTGTAACATTTACAAAATTCACTTTGGGAGACTCTGTAAGGTACTTCAAAGAGTCTGTCATCCAATAGAGGAAAATAAACAGAACCTTGAGAGTCTCGGATGCAATAAGACACTATGTGTGTGAAGAAAACATGAAGGGAGAAAGCAAAACAGGTTTCAAATGTCTACATCAAAAAGAAAGTCACAAGTGCAGATAATCTGAGTGGTAGTTGTGGTCAGTGGAAGAGCTACTACTCACATAGCTACACTTACGAAGGCAGCTCTGAGACAGGTGAGGAGGCCGACTTATTTCTTCAAGGATGCTGCAACTGAAAAGGCTTTGTCTTGCTTTTCTTCTCTTTGCCTTCCTCTTTTCTTCCGCCAAGTTTTCTTCCTTGAATTTGCAGCAGTCACATGGACTCCTCTTCTCCTTCCTTCTCCTTCTCCTTCCTCTTCTTTTCTTCTTCCTCCTCCTTGCTCCTCATCCCGCTTCTCCTCCTCCTCCTCTTCTTCCTCCCCTCTTTTCTCTTCTCCTCTCCTCTCCACTGCCTTCTATTTATGTATTGCAAACCCTTTTATTCTTATAGTCAGTGGTCTTGTAAGGGAGCCCTTTAAAGGCATATTTTTAAGATGACAGGGGCAGTGATTTGTGTAAGCTATTTGAATCATTTGTGTAAAAAGTTAAAAAAATCCTATTTGTGCTATTACACTCATTTATTCAAATGGTGTTGACTTACAGAACTCAGTTGCAGTATATATATAAATCTTCTCTATCATCTATGACTATGACTTCTTTATTTAAAAACTTTTTTTACATAAAACTGTTTTGTTTTTAATTGACACAGAATAATTGAATTATTTTTCTTGAATTGTAATGTCTGACTGTTTATTCTCTATGGTTTTCTGTATTCTGACTCTATACTCTCCCCTCCGTCCACTTAACCCCACTCAAATTGCAAATGCTGAAACCTTAGTGACTGCCCTCTACCAAACCATTCTTGTTCTCTTTTTTTCATCTCATCTTGTCTTTGTCTTCCTAAATGCCTTCTCTATCATTAGCATGAATTCTGATTTATAAAGCCTTCCTTTCTGTTTATTTTATTTATTGCTTTTATTTAAAAAATAAATAGAGACAGGGTCTTGCTATGTTGCTTAGACTGGTGTTGAACTCCTGGCCTCAAGGGATCCTCCCACCTTGACCTTTCAGAGTGTTGGGATCACAGGCCTGAGCCACTGTGCTTGGCCCCTGCTTTCTTTTTCTATATCTTTCACTGAACCTCTTTTTCTTGTTCCGCTCCATGTTGTGAAGCTTGATGCTGTCTTCCTGCTCTAACTTTACTTTCTGTTTGCCTGTATTCTTCTTCAGTGGAGCTTGGTCATGGTTGTGAAGTGAGCTTTCATCCTGGGTCAGGTTCACCCCTCTCCCCTGCCCCGTAGGTGAAGGTGCCTAAAAGGGCTTTTAGATGACCAAGATGGTGACTGTTGACTGATAACAAAGATTGATCAGCCTAGTGTAGTTTAAATTGTCCCAAGTTTAGAAACCAAAGCCATAAAAAAATAGTTGGCTGGAGATATTGGACAACTTGATTGTTAGATTTCTGGAAAGTTCTTACTTAACCTGAAAAAAATCTGGGAGATTATTTTTTTTTTCTAAGTTTTTTTTCAGTATAAAAATAGTGTGTGCTTACCATAGAAAACTTGAAAAATAAAGAAAGTAGAAAGGAAGGAAAAATTAAATTAAAATTATACTACCTCGAATCAATCATGGTTAATATTCAGGTGCATTTGCTTCTGTTCATTTTTCTATGTGGAACATATAATAAGAAATACACATGACTAAAAGCTCATTCTGTAAACGTGAATGCTCACTTGGTTTCACTCACTGTGCACTAGAAGCTTTAAAATACTATAAAAATATTAACAATGTTATCTCCATCACTGCAAAAACAAGTATCTGTTTGTTTTTGCAGTGATCCTCTTCTTATCTAATAATGTGTTTTTTTTGTCTTAAAGTCTACATAGTCTGTTAATGTGGCTAACCCAGAATTTGCCATGTATATTTTTCTATCATTTTCTTTGAACCGTTCTTTATTCTTACATTTTAAGGGTGTCTCTTATGAATATCATATAGCTTTAGTTATTTCTTTTGTACTCTGACAATCATTGTTTTTTAAGTGAATTTAGTGTATTTTCAGGAATTGTGATTATTATATCTGAACTTTTCTGTATCTCCTCACTTTGTGCTATTTGTCTCACCTTTTCAGTGCTTCTTTTTCCTCCTTTCTCATCTCTTACTTTTTTTGGATTGATAGCTATTTTTAAAATATATATTTAAATGGCAGATTGTAGTTTATAAAAATGGCTGCAACAACACAACAATTGCTCTTATTCCATGTTTTATCCAAAGTGACCTTGCCACTCTCCATTAAAAGGTGGAGATTATTTTCCTAGTTCTTGAACTTTGGCTGGTCCTGTGACTGCTTTGAACAATAGAACAATGCAGAAATGATACCGTGCCAGTGCTGGGCATAGTTTTTTTTTCAATAGACTTTATTATTATTTAATTAATAAACTATATTTTTAAAAGCAGTTTCAGGTTTACAGCAAAATTGAGCAGGAAGTACAGAGATTTCCTATATGCACCTTCTTCCAATACATGCACAGCCTCCCTCACTATCAATATCCCCAACCAGAGTAGTACATTCCTTATAACTGATGAACCTACATTGACACATCATCATCACCCATAGTTTACCTTAGGGTTCATTCTTGGTGTTGTATCAAGTAATTTTTAAAATCTTCTTTTCTTTTATATATTTTCTAAAATTTCCACAGTAAGAAAAAAATTAAAAAGTCAAAAAATCGTGTGGAGATCCTGACACTCAGAGCCAGCTTCTATTAAAAGTTTGTTACATAGTCTTTCAGACTTTTTCTAAGCACATTTATAATATTTTTCTTAAAAAGTGGGATTTTATTATATTTACAGTTTGTTAACTCTATTTTTAATTTAGCAATACCTTATGAATATCTTTCAATGCCAGTTAGTATTTTTTAAATCACCATTTAAAAATTGCCATGTAGTATTCCATTCTATGTATCATAATGTACTCAACTAATCAGCAATCATTTGTTATTTAGATTGTTTACAGTGTTTTCCATCATAAAATACATCGTGATAAACATTTTTTTTTTTTTAGATGGAGTCTTGCTCTGTTGCCCAGGCTGGAGTGCAGTGGTGCAATCTTGGCTCACTGCAACCTCCACCTCCTGGGTTCAAGCGATTCTCTTGCCTCAGCCTCCTGAGTAGCTGGGATTACAGGTGCGCACTACCACACCCGGCTAATTTTTGTAGTTTTTTAGTAGAGACGGGGTTTCACCATGTTGGCCAGGCTAGTCTCAAACTCCTGACCTCAGGTGATCTGCCCGCCTCGGCCTCCCAAAGTATTGAGATTACAATTGTGAGCCACCACATCCGGCCTATGATAAGCATTCTTGAACAGATACATATTTGCCAATGATTTCCTTAAGCTAAATTCCTAGAATGGGATTCCTGAGCCAAAGAGAATGTTTATATTTTAAAGCTTTTCCTATAAATTGCCCAACACCCCTTTGTTGGTTTACTCTCCCATTACTCAAACTTGAGCAGAATGTTGTTTGTCATACTCTTGCCAATCTTAGTATGACCATGCTTTACAATTGTTGCCAAGTAACAGGCTTAAAAAAGTCAAATCACTGTTGTTTTCCTTTGAATTTCTTCAATTCACGGTTTGGCTCAAATAAAAAAACAATAGTCTATTGGCCATTTCCTGTTTCTTGTTGCACTTACCATGTAATGTGCAAGGATTTTTTAATTTTTTAATTTTTATTGTTTGACAGAGTCTCGCCCTGTCGCCCAGCCTGGAGTACAGTGGCGTGATCTCAGCTCACTGCAACCTCTGCCTCCTGGGGGTTCAAGTGATTCTCCTGCCTCAGCCTCCCCAGTAGCTGGGATTACAGCTGTGCGCTGTCATTCCCGGCTAATTTTTATATTTTTAGTAGAGATGGGGTTTTGCCATGTTGGCCAGGCTGGTTTCAAACTCCTGCCTTGGCCTCCCAAAGTGCTGGGACTAAAGGCATGGTGCAAGGATTTTGACTGCTGTAACTTAATGGAATTTACCCTAATGAGATATTTCTCCAATATTGTTATTTAGAAGGTCTTTTTCATTCAGGATTTTTGAAGATAACAAAAGGATTCCTTGAGAACGTACATCACTTCTCTGGGGTGGAGTTGGTAGAAATATTCTGCAGGATGCTTGTCCCAGGTGTGCCTGTAACTTTAGGAGGGCTCTTCTGGCTAGAGCTCATTATCTTTTTAAAATCTGAGCAGTCCGGTGTGTATTCTTTTCTTCTGCTGGTTTAAAATTTAGCTTGCCTTTTAGGTAAAAGTCTGGGCCCAATAATCCTTCCAGTATAAGACAATGAAACACCCTTTCCTCTTCTTCTCCAAACAGTTTGCAGTGGGTTGGGGTGAGGATGATTTTGAGGGAGTGAAAACGAGGGTGTGAAGGTAATTAATGGCAAGTGCCACACAAGATAGAATGTGAAATTCCAGTGGCTTAACACATTGAAGACTTATTTTCCACTCATGGAAAGTCTAGTGAAGATTGGGTAGTCCTTCTGCACACATGTTATTAGTCAGAGGTATTCACACGCCCCACCTTGCAAATGAGACTGGGAAATAGAAGAGCACATGGGCATTTTGTGAGCACTCACGTCTCTGTCACAAGAGGGCAGGCTATCCTCACTGAATCATTTCATGCCCATACCATGTGGGTTGAATATACATGTGTTGCGAATGTTGAACACCGCCCCCATATATTTAACATTGTATTAATCTTACAAATCATATATATATTTGTATATATATATATTTATTTATGCTCAGAGCTTTGTATCTCTTTCCTTTATCATCATTATCATCATCTGCAGCTGCAGCAGCAGTAGTATCAGTATAGCATCACCAATATTCTTGTAGTGAACATTTATTCCATTCTTGGTATCAGCCAGTCTTTGTGCTAAGCACCTCACATGTATTAGTTATTTTAATTGTCAAATGCAGGTACTACTATTATCATTATGTTACAGGTATGAACACTGAGGTTCAAATAAATTAAGTAACTCATGTCTGACCCCAGAGCTGGTATTTTCAGCTACTGTAACACAATATTAGCCTCTGTATTAGTTTCCTAGGGAAGCCACACATTATCAAAGACTAGGTGGCTTAAAACAACAGAAATTTATTCTCTCACAGGTCAGGAGGCCAGAAGTCCAAATTCAAGGCATTAGCAGGGTTGGTTCCTTCTGGAGGCTCTAAGGGGGGAATCTGTTCCATGCATCTCTTTTAGCTTCTAGTGGTTGCCATCAATCCTTGGCTTCATTGGCTTGTAGACACATCCCTCCAATCTGTGCCCCCATCTTCATATCACCTTGTTCTCTATGTCTCTGGGTTTCTCTCTGTTCCTTTCCTCTTGTAACGATGCTAGTCATTGGATTTAGAGCCTACATGCGGTCAGTATAATATCACTTAATCTTTACCTTGATTACATCTATAAAACCCATATTTGCAAGTAAGTCACATTCTGAGGTTCCAGATGAGCATGCATTTTTGAGTGACACTATTCAACCCATTACAGCCTCCTATATTTTATTTCCTAAAGAGCTCCCATGTTGCTATGAATCTTCATGAACGTACCTTTGAATGGATACACAGTATTCTATTTCCCTATTTGTGGGCGTTTAGGTCGGGGAGGGCCATGCTAGCACGTAGAACCTTTGTCTAAGTTACACAAACGCATCCTCTTTTCTGGGCTGGCTGAAGTGCCAGGCTCAGTGAGCTGCACAGAGGCTGGATTTAACCACCTACTTACCCCCTTTGCCAGTGTTCTTTGTACAGGGCACAGCTTGCACACTGGACATGGAGGCCCAGGTCTGAGTGCATGGAATCTGCTTTTACCTTTGTTTCAGAGTAGGGCACATGCAATGTCTGAATCACTAGAGATCTTTTTCTCCAAATGCCTCCTTTACACAGAAGGAAAAAAAAATTGTAGTGTTTTATATTAATATGTTGTTTACTGATTCTATAATAGTTGAAATCTATTATTTTTCAGTCTCAATAATTTTTAAATTTTAGTCCAGAAATTTTGACTAATTTTGCTACAAACTAGGATAAGGTCCCCAATCTCTTGACTTTCTGCTGTATTTTTAATTACATCATGCTGATTCACGTAGCACCTTGCTTCCTATTTTACATTTAGCTGTGACATAAGCATTATTTAAAAATGCTTATTATTAGAGATGTATTCATCCTTTTATGTCTGAATTCTTAACTTCTGAAACTAAAGCTTTCTTCCTTTCTTTTGAACTTTGCTTGGAAAAATATTTTTTGGCCAGATAAAATAAAATATAAGTACTGCGTTTTAAAATTAAAATGATCACCTTTCTGCATATCTTTATAAATATTCATCCATAACTATAGTACTTTGGTTGCTGTGACAAGTTTGCTATTTTAATAGTGCACATTTCAAAGGACAATGGAGGAAAAATATGACATCTTCCTTTCCTTCAATTTAAATAACTTTTTTCTGAACACTTATTTTATTTTAATTTTCTAGAGAAAAAGTTCAGTTTATTTTCTGAGGCTTAAAATAAATGGAATAAAGAAGAAATCAAGCCAGGTGTGGTGGCTCATGCCTGTAAAAGCAGTACTTTAGGAAGGTGAGGCAGGAGGATCGCTTGAGCTCTGGAGTTGGAGATCAGCCTGGGCAACATAGTGAGACCCCATCTCTACAAAAAATAAAAAGAATTAACTTGGCATGGTGGTGCACATCTGTAGTGCCAGCTACTTGGGCGGCTGAAGTAGGAGGACCACTTGAGTCTAGGAGGTCAAGGCTGAAGTGAGCCATGATTGCACCACTGCACTCCAGCCTGGGCAACAGAGTGAGACACTTTTTCAAAAGAAGAAGAAATCAAGTCTATATCTAACTAGTAGAGTGAAATTCTTAGTACATGCTTTCTCCATAGTTACCATTGTGGCCAATTGTGCAAGGTCCTTGATGGTAGGAAATGCATCTGATTCCTCTTTACGATCCTTCACACAATGCCAATCAACATGATTCCCAATAAATTCACTCTGATTGAATGAATGATACAGCTGCCATCTTTCCTTGTCCATATCCATTCTGCTCTGGCCGCCCTGACTATCCATTCTCTGAACACAGGGCCCTCCTTCATATCTCCATGCCTTTGCAGATGTTATTTCCTCTGCTAGGAGTACTCGTTATCTAGTGATTCCTTTGCGTAGCTCTTCCTCATCTTTTAAGACCTAGCTCAAGTGTCACTTCTTTTGTGAAGCATGTCTCAAGGCCAAGATGATACCTCATTTATCTTTATGTTCCTGGTGGCTGGCACAGAGTCAAAGTTAACCAAATGTGTAGTGAATGAGCAAGTGAATGAAGAGAAGGGACAGAACCAGGATTCCACAGTGGATAAGAGCATATATCTCTATCTCTATCTGTATCTATCTATCTATCTATCTATCTATCTATCTATCCATCCATCTATCTATCTATCTATCATCTATCTATCTATACACACACACACACACACACACACACACATACAACCTGAATTCATTGCTCTGCTTCTTGACTTACCATTGTGTGACCTAGGTCAGGTAACGTTACCACTCTGGGACTTAGTTTTCTTAGTTGCAGAATGAAGATAATGATAGTACTTGACTCAAAGGGTTCCCTGTGAGAATAAAATGAGATCTTGTACATAAAGTCCTTTGTCTAATAAGAGCTAAATAATGTCAGCAGAATAGTTCTATGGTTTTTCTTTGATTGTAATGGAAATATTCAGTGTTGGCTGAAGCTGGCTGACCTCAGTGTGATGGTATCAGATGGAAATGTTTTGGTTGGGAAGCCAAAATGCTACCACCACATTTTCTTCCAAACTAAAGAAACTCCAAAAAAGCAAAATCCATGTAACTGGAAAACACTAGTTGATTAGAATTTCCTGATACTTGAGTTCTAAGAGAAAGAGACAAAACCACACACACAAACCTAATAGAAGAATATTCCTAAATGTAAACACCTTGCAAATAACTGCGAGGGGATGACTCTTAGAATATCTTCAGCCCAATAAATGTTTATTCCTTAGCACAGGGGCAAATAGCCATGTCAGGGACTGAATTCAGCTCACTCATTGGTGATTTGGCTTGACATTGTGTTTTGAAAAATTCAAAATGGATGCCAACATGAAAAAAGAAACTACATAGAAATTTTCGAATGCCTACAGTGATTAATGTAATGAATCTCCATATAACTTATTGCCCAGATTCAATAATTAGCAAGACTCTGTCATTCTGTTTTATCCTTCCCCTCACTTTTTTTTTTTTTTTTTTTTTTTTTGGCTAGAGTATTTGAAAGCAAATACCAGGACATTATATACTTCTTTTTTAAAAACTTAACTTTTATTTTAAGTTCAGGAGTACATTTGCGGGTTGGTTACATAGGTAAATGTGTGTCATGGGGCTTCATTGTACAGATTATTTCATCGCCCAGGTATTAAGCCTAGTACCCATTAGTTATTTTTCCTAATCTTCTCCCTCCTTCCACCCTTCACTCTCCAATAAGCCCCAGCATCTGTTGGTCCATGTGTTCTCATTATTCAGTTCCCACTTATAAGTGAGAACATGTGGTATTTGGTTTTCTGTTCCTGTGTTTGTTTGCTAAGAGTAACAAATGGAGCCTCCAGCTCCATCTATGTTCCGGCAAAGGACATATTCATAATGTTCTTTTTATGGCTGCATAGTATTCCACGGTGTATATGTACCACATTTCCTTTATCTAGTCTATCACTGACGGGCATTTAGGTTGATTTCATGTCTTGCTATTGTGAATAGTGCTGCAACGAACATACGTGTCCATGTGTCTTTAGATACAATTCACTCATAAATATTTCAGTATTTATCTTCATCAGATAAAGACTTTAAAAAATATGTAACCCCAATCATTTATTACAACCAACAAAATTAAAATTAATTTCTTAATATGATCTGACACCCAATCTGTGTTCGGTCTTCCCTGATTATATCAAAAAGTCTTTTTTTGTTTGTTTGTTTCAAATAGTTGTTTTGTTTGAATCAGATCACAAACTACATTTGTTGGCTACAAGTTTTAAGTCTCTTAATGTATAGCAGTTCCCGTCCTTTGTTTCCATGCCATTTACTTCCTGAAGAATTTTAAAGTTGATAAATACATATGAAAACATGGATTTGTGGCCCCTTTTGAATAAAGGAGAAGAGCTGGCAGCACTGGTTTATACTCCCATAAGGCAACACTTGGCTGGAGCTGAGTAGAGGCTGTGAACTTTAGACACTGCAAGTTTTCTACAGTCCACACCAGTCCCTATTGTACCAACTAGCATGACTCATTTGTGTTGCCTGCGTAGAGCCAATGGGCTTTGAGCAGGCCACCTCTGCCCTACATCTGCTTCTGATAGGCAATAAGAACTGATGCTTGAAAGATGATCTTGAAGTCCTAATCCCTTTCTAGCCATTAAATAGATGCTTAGTTTTGTGCATTACATTGCTTAGGTAGGAATGTAAGCAAAAACGTTTAAAGATTTTTCAACAAAGAATTGAATCAACAATTTTTTTTTTAAATTCTAAGTTAACCTGACAGTTTATGAATTAGCATTTCTCTTTTCTTGAGCGTTCCAGTTAATCTGCTTTACTGCCTTCCACTCTGTAAATATCCTTTTCACCTGTGTGAGGGTTTGAGCCTACAAAGGCCACTGGACACGGTGTCACAAGACCCAGACTTGAGTCCTGGGCCTCTGTGAACAGTGGACCATTATTTTGCTTCTCTGGGTCACCTATGCAGAGTAGAGGTAAAACAGCCTGTCTCTCAGAGTTGTGTGAAGTTCAAATAAGGTAACAGATGTGAAATTAGTTTGTAAACTGTATAACTTTACACTTAAACAAGGTATTACTAGGCATAAGGATATACTGAATTATGCCTAACATCCTCTTTTACACCTCTGTGCATTTACCCTGCTGTTTCCTCTCCCTGTAATGCCCACAAGAATTAATTGTTAGTCATCTGTGGTCCCTGAACACTTTATGCCTGTTTCTTCGCAACGTTTGTCACACTGTGTTAAAGCCATTTGTTCACATCTGTGTCTTTGGTGAGATTCTGAAAGTAAACCACAGTTTATTCAGTGCTTAGCATACAGGTAACCCTTAGTAAATGTCGGATTGGATAAATTTGAATAATTACTACCTGTGTGCCTATCTTGAAGGACAAAGTCCATGTATATACAGTTCTTTAGGTATGTCATCTGGTAACTGACCAGTCCAATGATGATGCCAATGATGAAATAGTCATGAAAATGGAGTTTTGTATTTTTAATTTAAGAAAATGATCAGACTTCTTGAGTACATTTTTTGCATTGTATTTTTAAGCCCATGAACAATGAAAGAATGTAGATGTAGAATGTCTATTATTTAAAAATATTTTTTCCTGCTGGAGAAAACTTAAGCTCCCAGTCATAGTTCTTGGCCCCAGTTCTCTCGTTCTCCTGATTAATTTAGAGCTTCTTGCTCTTTTACAGCTGGTTTGCCATCCACCCGGTCAGCATGAACAACAGTAACCATCTTGTAAACAGTGACAATGTGGGCTATGCATCTTACCTGCTTGAGCAAGAGAAGAACAAAGGATATCTACCTGGACAGGTGAGAATTTATATCATTGAAAGCTTCATCTTGATTCACTGAGTGTCATCATTCATGCTGCATTCAGAAGAGGTGATTCAAATCTCCAGAATAAAGTGTCATCATCAATCTCACATATTGGTATGCTTGAATAGACAGCATTTACCATCCTCCCTAATGTGGAAAGAAAAATAAAAAATGAGTACTAACCATTTGCTTTTTGTGTTACATAGTCCTTATATTCATTGCTTCATAAAGTTATTAGTTGAATAAGGAAGGGCAAAGTTCAAGATTTTTATAACAGTAGGTTTTGATTAAGCTGAAAATATGACAAACTGTTGATATTTACTTTTGTTTTTAGAGCTATACAAGGATTAAGCACCATTTTTATTTTTATTTTATTTTTTGAGACAGAGTTTCACTCTATCACCCAAGCTGGAGAGCAGTGGCACGATCTCAGCTCATTGAAACCTCTGCCTCCCAGGTTCAGCAACTCTTGTGCCTCAGTCTCCTGAGTAGCTGAAATTACAGGTGCACACCCCCACGCCCAGCTAATTTTTGTATTTTTAGTAGAGACAGGGTTTCGCCATGTTGGTCAGGCTGGTCTTGAACTCCTAACCTCAAGTCATCTGCCCACCTCGGCCTCCCAAAATGTTATGATTACAGGCATGAGCCACTGCTCCAGGCCCAAATTTGGAAGACTATATAATGGGATAAGAGTCCCAGGCCCTTACCTACAATTAATATTCCCTTATAAAGATATTAGCTTCCATTAACATTCAGCCTGATCATTTAGCTCTGTCTTAGTTTGTTTTGTGTTAGCAGAATAACTGAGACTGGGTAATTTATAAAGAAAAGAGGTTTATTTTGGCTCATGATTCTGTTGGTTGAAAAGTTCAAGACTGAACAACTCCATCTGGTGAGGGCCTCATGCTATTACCAATAAAATAAAAATTTTCTCAGAATATTGCACATAAATATTCATGACAGAAAACAGACGAGGAGGCCGAATGCAGTGGCTCACACCTGTAATCCCAGCACTTTGGGAGGCCGAGGTGGGTGAATCATGAGGTCAGGAGTTCGAGACCAGCCTGGCCAACATGGTGAAACCCCGTCACTGCTAAAAATACAAAACATTAATCGGGCATGGTGGTGTGTGCCTATAGTCCCAGCTACTTGGGAGGCTGAGGCAGGAGAATTGCTTGACCCCAGGAGGCAGAGGTTGTAGTGAGCCAAGATCGTGCCATTGCACTCCAGCCTGGGGGACAGTGCGAGACTCCGTCTCAAAAAAAAAAAAAAAAGAAAGAAAACAAGAGGAACTAGGATGTGCAAAGAGATCACATGTGAAAGAGGAAGCAAGAGAGAAAAACTGAAGAAGCCAGGCTCTTTTTTAACAATCCTGCTCTTGCAAGAACTACTACAATCCATTCCCTAGAGAGTGAGAAGCCACTCATCCTGTGGGAGGGCATTATTCTATTCAGGAGGGATCAGTCTCTTCCTGCTAGGCTACAGCTCTCAGCAATGCCACAATGGAGATCAAATTTCAACATGAGTTTTGGCAGGAATAAACCACATCCAAACCAAAGCAAGCTCCTTTGTTGGCAAAACTCACTCTTACTATTTTCTCACTTTAGCCTGCATTTTAGGGAAAAGAAGAGAGTTTTCTATTTATGATCACTGCCTGAGTGCTAGGCACTATGAAATAAATTATCTCTTTAGTATCAAAAAAGATTTATATCTCCAATACTTAGTTATCTCTTTCCCTAAGAAAATTAGAGCCATTTAAGGTAGAATGGTAGAGTGGTTGGGTTGAGGCAGAGGACTTGCATGGCTCTAATTATGTTGAAGAGAGAGAGAAAATATACATCAAGGGCAAGTCCAGATTGTGGATGGTATATTTAGTTTCATTGTGCAACAGGAAAGTCTGTATTTGCTTTTTTCTGTTTAAGCCAAGAGCATATTTATTTTTAAAGGGCAAAGGGATCTCTGAGCTCCAGATAAAACACAATAGACTAGATTGACTGGTCAGCATTTTATAATTTGTTGTTGCACACAGTGTTTCTGGTTAAAATATTTCTGTTTGAGGCATAATTTGAAACTCTCCCACTTGAATCAGTGATAATTGGAATATTTTCAGTAATAATATGTATACCGACTGTAATGTGAGCCTTTACAGGAATAAAAAGTTTTCTCAGAATATTTTTTTCTGGATTTTTTTTTTTATTATTATACTTTAAGTTTTTGGATACATGTGCAGAACATGCAGGTTTGTAACACAGGTATACACGTGCTATGGTGGTTTGCTGCACCTATCAACCCATCATCTACCTTAGGTATTTCTCCTAATGCTATCCCTCCCCAGCCCCCCACCCCCTGACAGGCCCCAGTGTGTGATGTTCCCCTCCCTGTGTCCATGTGTTCTCATTGTTCAACTCCCACTTATGAGAACATGTGGTGTTTGGTTTTCTGTTCTTGTGTTAGTTTGCTGAGAATGATGGTTTCCAGCTTCGTCCATGTCCCTGCAAAGGATATGAACTCATCCTTTTTTATGGCTGCATAGTATTCCATGGTGTATATGTGCCACATTTTCTTTATCCAGTCTATCATTGATGGGCATTTGAGTTGGTTCCAGGTCTTTGCTATTGTGAATAGTGCTGCAATAAACATACGTGTACATGTGTCTTTATAGTAGAATGATTTATAATCCTTTGGGTATATACCCAGTAATGGGATTGCTGGGTTAGATGGTATTTCTGGTTCTAGATCCTTGAGGAATCATCGCACTGTTTTCCCCAATGGTTGAACTAACTTCAAACTATACTACAAGGGTACAGTAACCAAAACAGCATGGTACTGGTACCAAAACAGACATATAGACCATTGGAACAGAACAGAGGCCTCAGAAATAACACCACAGATCTACAACCATCTGATCTTCGACAAACCTGAGAAAAACAAGCAATAGGGAAAGGATCCCCTGTTTAATAAATGGTGTTGGGAAAACTGGCTAGCCATATGCAGAAAACTGAAACTGGACCCCTTCCTTACACCTTATACAAAAATTAACTCAAGATGGATTAAAGACTTAAATGTAAGACCTAAAACCATAAACACCCTAGAAGAAAACCTAGGCAAATACCATTTAGGACATAGGGATGGGTAGAGACTCCATGACTAAAACACCAAAAGCAATAGCAACAAAGGATCCCCTATTTAATAAATGGTATTGGGGAAACTGGCTAGCCATATGCAGAAAACCGAAACTGGACCCCTTCCTTACACCTTATACAAAAATTAACTCAAGATGGATTAAAGACTTAAACGTAAGACCCAAAACCATAAAAACCCTAGAAGAAAATCTAGGCAAATACCATTTAGGACATAGGGATTGGTAAAGACTTCATGACTAAAACACCAAAAGCAATAGCAACAAAAGCCAACATTGGCAAATGGGATCTAATTAAACTAAAGAGCTTCTGCACAGCAAAAGGAACTATCATCAGAGTGAACAGGCAACCTACAGAATATTTTATATCCTCTTTTTATTGCCTGCAAATGATTTTGAATAGTTTGCCAGAGTGGATTTAATGTTTGTATTTCTAATGGCATTCATTACAGGAAATAGGAAAGAATAAAAGGCAACTTGGCATTTCTTTTGGCAGGGGCCATTTGTAGCAGCCTTTGCTTCATCAAACCTAGGAGATGTGTCCCCCAACATTCTTGGACCACGTTGCATCAACACAGGAGAGTCCTGTGATAACGCCAATAGCACTTGTCCCATTGGTGGGGTAGGTAATTATGACACATGAAATCTTTGTTTTTGCATCTCAAATACATTTTATGTTTGAATATTTATCATTAATTTACAAATACCTTGTCTTCTAGTATACACTGGCCTAGTTCTCCCTAGCATCTGCTCTTCTCAAAAGCACCTGTCCAAACCCAGTAAATTTTAACTGAGTGAAGTTATATTTTTCCATTTGAGTGACTGTTAAGGTTTTTGAATGGTGAGACAATTCAGTAACTGTCAGAGATTAACTCTACCCTTCCCCAAACTTGTTCAATCTGAAACATTTTGCTTTGGCATTTCGAAAGTCACAAGTTTGTAGTAAAAATTGCCTGCCTGAGACATTTCTCATGGATTATAAAGTTTATAGGGTTTTTAATATAAGACCTAAATTGCTTCTCCTTTCTTAAAAATTACAAGCAAAAAAATTGCTGTAAAAATTCAAATAATGTGGAAGTACAGAGAATAGTAAAAAGTGAAAGTCCCTCTTCGCCTCCCTTTCCTCTATACTTTGCTCTTCCCAGAAGTTACTATTCTCATACCTCCTCCTATGTATTTACCTATGCATTCATAAACAACATTATATGACTTATTTATGGATTTTGAGTTTTGTATCCAGGACTTGAGTTTTCCACTTAATTTGTCTTAGAAACTTTTCAATGAGTATATCCAGATCTGTGTGATATGTTTTAAAGACAGCAAGTTAGGCTATACCATCATTTATTTAACTCCCACAATGTTCATTTAGCTTTGTTTTCAACTTTGACATGAGCAGTAGATGCTACTTTTTGGGTTCTTATTCTTTGTGTTTGTAGAACATTTCACCTGTGATAATGCTTTTTTTGTATACTATTTCTGGGATGTTTATTCCATCCCAGTCAACTCCACCCAATGGGGTTAAACCAGTATTAATAAAGATTTTTTTCTTATCGACTTTTTAAAGCTCCTAATATATTAAAGTCTTAGTTTTGTCAAAATAGTACAAAGTTTTCCTAAAGTTTATCAGTTGTCTTTCTGTCTTATTTATGTCTTTTGCCCCCTATGGAAATTTAAGATGTTTTACCTGTCCAGTTTAACTAAGCTTGTTCTAGATAACTTTCAGGAGGGTCTGCCCACACCCTCATACTACAAAATATGTTTATCCATATTTTCTTTTAGTAATTTTTTGATTCCACTTATAATATTTAAGTGCTTGATCAATCTCAATTTTTTCTGACATAAGAAGTAGGAAATAGAGCCAGATTTGTTTATTGATTTTTTTCCCCAGAAGTCCAGCTAGTTGTTCCAATATAATTTTAATCGAGTTTCAGTTTAAGGTGATCATGAGTAAGAATCAGAGGCAAGAACAAGCAAGTAGAAAGATGTGCAGTCAATAGAAAGACCTGGCTTCAAGTCTTAGCTCAGATATTAGATACCTGCATAATCAGCAACACATCTTTTAACCTGAGCCTCAATTTCCTTATTTTTAAAAGAAAGGCTCCAGAATAGATCATTTCTAAAGACATTCACTCTTCTAATTCCAGGTATGATTTTGTTTTTATAGTTTGTACTTTGAGAGACTACCTGAAAAGAAATGCAAGAATGTGGTTTTAAAAATCTATTTGCTTAGATTCAGTTATAATTCTTTATTCCTTAAAATAATTTCTTACTTGGCCAAGAATGCATCATATCTTATTTTGTTCCAGCCTAGCATGTGCATTGCTAAGGGACCTGGACAGGATATGTTTGACAGCACACAAATTATAGGACGGGCCATGTATCAGAGAGCAAAGGTAAGCCATGGGCCTCGCTCCTTTAATCTTTGTTTAAAATTGTCCTTTAAAATCCATTGACTTGGTTCATTAGGAAGTTGAATACTTAAAGAAAACAGCAAATGCTCAGGTTGTGCTGGGGAGTCTAGAAGAGGTCAGCTTGGGAGGTGGCCTTTGCAATCCACATGGGAACCTCTGTCTGACTGCTCAGGTCTGACTTCTTATAGGAAGTACATTTAAAACCAAGTAATCAGGAAAACATTCTATTTTAGAATGTCTAGAAAGCCAGAGTGCTTGCTTAGACACTAGGAACATAGACTATAAGATTTTCAATTTCTTGTGGCATTAGATATGACCAGATTGATTCAAATTCTCAGAAGTCTTTAAGGCCTTTGCTTGCCAAAAGTCACCCAACTATCTCTTAACTTTTCCTTTGGTGACAAGAGAAAGCTGAGCCATAGAACTCCAGTTCTTGAAACTTGGATTTAGATTAGTTCCTGGTGTTCTTCAATATGCAAAGATCATCCAGCTATTCTTTTCTTTTTACAAAACTTTTTGATGAAGCTCTCTTCATCAAATCTGGTCTCCAGTGAGATTACTATGAATTACTCTGATTTCCTCCCCCTCCTAAATTTTATTTCCCATTTTGTCCCCATATTTTGTTTCAGCTTCTATGGAGACATATTTCTAGGCAAAAAGACAAAAAAATTACCTCGAACTGAGATGTCCTTGATATGGTTAAATCTCTTTCTTTTCATAGCTTATTCATACCTTTGCTGCGTGTGTGTGTGTGTGTGTGTGTGTGTGTGTTTAAATAGTTTATTCCAAGGGTTCTAAAATCTTTCAAGAGCAACTAAGGAAGGACAAAAGCACCTTTAAAGAACAATCTGACACAAAATTGGTAGCAACAGCCAGCCTAATCGCTGCAGTTTCTTTTTAATTACTGTGGTATTATCAGTGGATTATTCTAAATTCACAGATTCTATTTAGGGTGTGCACCCATGACACACTTTAGTGTCAGAAATTTTGTTCCCATTCTGAGCCGGAGAGTCATAGAGATTTGACCCACATTCTGCATTCTCTTCTCAGCAAGGCACAACTTCTCTCTTAATTAAGAGTGGCAGGCTGCAGCTGGTCTTGCTGATGACTTATGAGAGCTCTCATGTGGCCATTGAAACTGGGGTGGGGACAGAGTGGAAATGAGCTAAGTGTCAGGCAAGAGAACGTTTGATGAAACAGGATTTGCCTATGTTATATAATGCGAATTAATAAAAACAAAGAGTTTTTTAAACTTGTTTTCACTCATGTTTCCCATAAGATTGAAAAAGCATCAATTGACCATATTAAAACACAAAAGCAAAAGCACCGAAGAGTGGATTGTGGGTGGGCGAAGTGCTGCAGACAAAGCAGGGCTTGAAGTCTTCCAAGCCACCTTTGTCCCCAACCTGCTGCAGGACTCAAGTATTCTGAAAGGAAGACCCTATAAAAACACACAAAGATACACTCTCACTCTAGCAAAGAAAGTATTTTGGTCCAGTTATTCCTAATCTTAAATTTTCTTGGTGATCTTTCAAGTGAGATTGAGGCCTTTTGTGCCACAGCCTGTATCACTATAATTTCACTTTTGTGGGGAGTTGATACAGGTCAACAGCCTCGGAGACTTCAAGCTTTTGGGAAACTCCTGGGTTTGGTAGAGAGAGACCCATGTGGTTGGTGGCCAATTCTAAGCAACCAGCAAAACAAAAGCTTTGCTGAGAGATGCATTTCCAAATTGCATCAAATTGGTACTTCCTGAGTACAGTTGGAGATGATCACTTTAGCCTTTTTGCTTGGAATAATAAGCCTGTGTGTTTTCTAGGAACTCTATGCCTCTGCCTCCCAGGAGGTAACAGGACCACTGGCTTCAGCACACCAGTGGGTGGATATGACAGATGTGACTGTCTGGCTCAATTCCACACATGCAGTAAGTGCTGCTGAGACACACTGGTTATGCCCCAAGGGTGAAGTTTTGGTTTGATCTCATTATTTACTTTCAGTTTAACTTTTGTCTTTTTCATTTTTGTTTTGTTTTTAAAACTTTTCCTTTAGTCAAAAACATGTAAACCAGCATTGGGCTACAGTTTTGCAGCTGGCACTATTGATGGAGTTGGAGGCCTCAATTTTACACAGGGTAAGGTGAAGTCCAGTAAAATCTATGGTTTCAGCTTCTGAAGCTTCTGGGTTCTGTTCTCTGATCAGGTTTCATTGTAGCCAATACATTTATTAATTTTTAAACTCAGGGTCTGCTGGTTTTCCAGGTTTGTACATGACCATGTACCGCACCCGCTGCCCCCAGACCTAAGCAACCACTAATATTTCTGTCTCCATATTTTCCTATTCTGGACACTTAATACAAATGGAATCATATAATATGTGGCATTTTTTGTTGGCTTCTTTCACTTAGCATCATCTTTCAAAGGTTCATTGATATTGTAGCATGCATTTATTTTTTTGAGACAGAATTTTGCTCTTGTCACCCAGGCTGGAGTACAGTGGCACCATCTCAGCTTACTGCAACCTCCACCTGTCAAGTTCAAGCTATTCTCCTGCCTCAGCCTCCCAAGTAGCTGAGACTACAGGCACCTGCCACCACGCTTGGCTAATTTTTGTATTTTTAGTAGAGATGGGGTTTCACCATTTGGCCATGGTGGTCTGGAATTCCTGACCTCAAGTGATCCGCCCGCCTCAGCCTCCCAGAGTGCTGGGATTACAGGTGTGAGCCACTGCTCCCAGCCTCATTCTTTTTTTATGGTTGAATAATATTCCATTGTATCAACATATCAGATTTGTTTAAACCTTCCTCAGTTGATGAACATTTGGGTTATCCCATGTTTTGGTTATTATGAATCTATAAATAGTCTATAAATATTCATGGGATTTTTATGTGGGTGTTTGTTTTCATCTTTCCTCTTGGGTATATATCTAGGAGTGCAATTGCTGGATTATATAACTCTATATTTAATCATCTGAGAAGCTGCCAGACTATTTCTGAAATGGCTGCACCATTTTACATTTCCACAGGCAGTGTATAGTTTTCTGATTTTTTAATGTATTTGCCAATACTTGTTATTATCTGACTTACTGAATCTAGCTACCTTAGTGGGTGTGGAGGGATATCTCATTGTGGTTTTGATTTGCATTTCCCTAATAATTAATGATGTCAAACACCTTTTCATGTGCGTATTAACCACATATATATCTCCCTTGGAGAAATGTCATTTACGTAGTTTTCTCCTTTTAAAATTTGGGTTATTTTTCTTTTTATTATTGAGTATAAATGTTCTTTGTGTATTCTGTATACGTTCCCTTATCAGATGTGTGATATAAAAATATTTTCCCAGCACTTTGGGAGGCTGAGGTGGGCAGATCATCAGGTCAGGAAATTGAGACCACCCTGGTCAACATTGTGAAACCCTGTCTCTACTAAAAATACAAAATTAGCCAGACATGGTGGTGCACGCCTGTAGTCCCAGCTACTCGGGAGGCTGAGGCAGGACAATCGCTTGAAACCGGGAGGCAGATGTTGCAGTGAGACAAGATTGCACCACTGCACTCCAGCCTGGCAACAGAGTGAGACTCTGTCTCAAAAAAAATTTTTTTTCTTCCATTCTGTAGGTTTTTTCACTTTATTGATTGTATCATTTGAAGCACAAACATTCTTAATTTTTATGAAGTCTAAATTTTCTTTTGTTACTCATGGTTTTGTGTCATATATAGGAATCTTTTTCCAGATTCAATGTCATGAAGATTTCCCCCTATTTTCTTATAAGATTTTTATGGTTTTAGCTCTACATTTAAGTCTTGGATCCATTTTTAGTTAAACTTTGTGTATCATGGAGGTAATGGCCTGCCTTTATTCTTTTGCATATGGCTATTCAGTTATCCTAGCACCACTTATTGGAAAGATTATTATTTACCCATTCTATAATCTTGGCACACTTGTTAAAAATTAGTTGACACATGGCTTTATGTCTGGATGATCAATTCTATTCCATTGATCTATATGCCTAACCTTGTGCCAGTATAACCGTCTCTTGGTTATTGTTTCCTTTAAGATCAGAAAGTATGTCTTTCTACCTTGTCCTCCTCTTCCAAGATTGTTTTGACTTCTGAATTTCTTGAGATTCCACAGGAATTTTAGAATCAGCTTGTAAATTTTTACAAAGAAGTCAGCTGGGATTCCGATGGGAATATCATTGAATTTACAGATTAATTTGGGGGAGTATTGCCATCTTAACAATATTATGTAATCTGATCCACGTACATAGATGTTTTAGGATTCATTTAGACCCTCTTTAATTTTTTTCAACAATGTTTTGTAATTTTAAGACAAATACAAAAAATAAATTTTGTATTTTTTGTTGTTTATTTCTTAGTATTTCACTCTTTTCTATGCTATTGTAAATGGAAATTTTTTCTTAATTTCATTTTTGGATTGTTCATAGAAAATGTATAGAAATACAACAGATAGCTGTATTGACCTTATATCCTACAACCTTGCTGAACTCATTTATTAGTTCTAATATTTTAATGGATGATTTAGGATTTTTCTCTATACAAGATCATGTCATCTTAAAATAGAAATATTAATAGTTTTAATTTTTCTTTTCCAATCTGAATGCCTTTTATTTCTTTTTCTTGCCTAATTGCCTGCCTAGAACCTTCAGAACAATGTTGAATAAAAGTAAAAAGAGTGTATATTCTGTGTTGTTCCTAATAGTATGGAAAAAGCATTCAGTCATTCATCATTAACTATAATGTTAGCTCTGGGTTTTTAATCCTTCATCAGGTTGAGGAAATTTACTTCTATTCCTAGTTTGTTGAGTGTTATTATCATAAAATGGTATTAGTTTTTTGGCAAATATTTCTCTCTGTATCTGCTCAGATTATCATGTAATTAAAAAATTATATTAATATGTTGTACTGCATTAATCAGTTTTTGAATGTTTAACCAACTTTGTATTCCTGGAATAAATCCCAGTTGGTCATGTTCTATAACAATTCTTTCTCTGTGTTGCTGTATTCAGTTTGCTAGTATTTTGTTGTAGGTTTTTGTGTCCTATTTATCAGAGAAAATGTTCTGTAGTTTTCTTTTCTTGTGATATCTTTGTCTGGTTTTATATCAGGATAATATTGGCCTCATAGAATGAATCAGGAAGTGTTCCCTTTTCTATTATTTTGGAAAAGTTTTGGAAAAGCTAGTACTAATTCTTTGGTTGGTGGAATTCAGCAGTAAAGCAATCTGGCTCTGTTATTTGTTGTAAGTAGTTAAAAATGTGTTATGAATCAATCTCTTTACTTTTTATAGTTTTTTTTTTTTAGATTGCCTATTTCTTCTTGAGTCAATTTTGGTAGTTTGTCTTTCTAGAAATTTTTCCATTTTATCTAAGTTATCTAATTTGTTAGCGTACAACTACTTATAGTTTTCCTTTATAATTCTTTTTATTTCTTTAAAGTCAGTATTAATATTCTAATTTCTGATTTTAATAATTTAAGTCTTCTCTCTGTTTTTCTTGGTCAATCTAGCTAAAGTTTTGCCAATTTTGTTGACCTTTTCAAAAAACCAGCTTTTGGTTTCATTGATTTTTCTGTTTTCTTTCTACTCACTGTTTAATTGATTTTCTTTCGAATACTGATTATTTCCTTCTTTTTCAACATTTGATTTAGTTTGCTTTCCTTTTCCAATATCTTCAAGTGGAAGTTAGGTTATTGGTTTGAGATTTTTCTTCTTTCTTAATATATGGGCATTTACAACTATAAATGTCTCACTGAACACAGCTGTCACTGCATACCATAAGTTTTGATGTGTTGTGTTTTCATTTTCATTCATGATAAAGTATTTCCAGATTTTCCTTTGATTTCTTCCTTGATTATTAGCTATTTCAGATCATACTGCTTAATTTCTGCATATTTGCAAGCTTCTCCATTTTTTCCTTTATTTTTAATTTCATTTCACTGTATTTGGAAAACATATTTTGTATTATTTCTACTTTGTAAAATTTAATGAGATTTGTCTTTTAGCCAGCACATGATCTACCACAGATAATATTTCATGTGCACGTGAGAAGAATGTATATTCTGTTATTGTTGGGTGGAGTATTCTATAGATTGGTAGGTCTAGTTCAAGTTTTCTGTTGATCTTCTGCCTAGTTGTTCTATCCATGATTGAGAGTGGGTTATTGAAAATTTCAGTATTGTTACTGAAATGTGTATTTCTTTCTTCATTTCTGTGAGTTTTCAGTTTATGTTACACAGACATTTATAATTATTACATTTTTTGAATAGAGTATAGATTCTTAATTCATAAGTTTTATAGTTACAAAACCTTTTACCCCAGATTATGCATATGAAGTTTATTTTTGTTTTTTACTGCTTTGTGTGTGTGTGTGTGTGTGTGTGTGTGTGTGTGTGTGTGTAGATAACTAAATTCAGGAGAAATTATTTCAGGGACCATAAGTCAGACAACTGGTATTGTGAGTTGGAGGCGTAATTTTTCATTTTCAAAACAGGAAAAAAGTGATTTAGTCCACAAATCTGCAGTTAATTATGTCAAACTGTTTTTATTTGCAACATGAATGAGCAGGAGTAATAGAAACAAAACTTTAAGGACATTGACAAAATATACTCTGTCGTTCTCTTGACCACACTGAAGATCTAATTAAACAATGGCTCATGTCTTAGGATGCACAGGACATTTTTCCTATTCTATTACTCAAACTGTTTGGAATCATTGAACAACAACCTCAATAAAATCTCTGAAACTCCTTAAAAGATTATTGTACAATATTTGTCAAGATAATGACTTTTTTGAGAGGGTTGGTTCAAGGAAGTATACTAATTATAACATTTCTAATAGGGAAAACAGAAGGGGATCCATTTTGGGACACCATTCGGGACCAGATCCTGGGAAAGCCATCTGAAGAAATTAAAGAATGTCATAAACCAAAGCCCATCCTTCTTCACACCGGAGAAGTAATGCATTTTCGTTATCATAGTGAAATTAGCATATTGTTATTTTTAAATATGTGAACTGTCAGGTAATGAATGGTAGATATCTACTGAGATGGGAAGTCTTATTTAGATATTCCCATATCAAGTTTTTAATATTAAAAAATGGGTTCCATGACTCTAAGGAATGAAGGTTATGGCAATGAATTATATTGATTTACCTATTGCACTTATGATTAATAAATACAACAATTAGGACAGTGGGAAAGGCAGAATAAGATGAACATTTATCTTACTCAGAATTTATTTTTGTTGGTTCCAAGAAGGGAGTCAGCACCAAATTTTCTGCAGAAGAAAATATTTCAGGTCATCTAAAACAAAACATGTTCCTGTCTAAATTTTCTCACAGTTCAGGCAACATTATCAACTAAAGCAATTTTCTTTTACACTCCTTTGAAACATATATTTTGCATTCTAAATGTCAAAAGGTCATTTCAGTATTCATAAAAACTTGGATTGTTGAGTTAGAAGCATTTTAAAAATACATTTTTCCCTAATATCCTATTAAAATTCTTGAAAGAAGAGAGGAAAGGAAGGAATAGAGGGACAGGCTATAGTATTCTGAATAAGGAAAGGGTTAAATTCTCTTGGGAGAAATCTTGGAAAATAAAGTAAGACTTGGAAACTGTAAACTTAAAGTGCGATTATAATAAAAAGAGAAATTATTAAGTTAAACTATTCCAAATGGAATTCCTTATTTATTGTGTATAAGAATAGTCACCAACAGTACTCTAGGAAAATGTTTGGTTATCTGTTACACATTGTGATTTCACGATGACAGATCCACCAAAAACTTCATTGATTTCTGCAGGTTAATGGGGCTTTGGCATTTGAAATTCTCATGTTATGACTAGGACATAAATGCCCATATAGAATATTTAATACTACATCATAAATTAGAAACTAGAGGAAATTCTGGGACCACTATATGTCTGTTGACCATAGAGAGAGTGTTATCCCTAACATAATTTTCTTGTTTTGGGTTCTCAGCTATCAAAACCTCACCCCTGGCATCCAGACATTGTTGATGTTCAGATTATTACCCTTGGGTCCTTGGCCATAACTGCCATCCCCGGGGAGTTTACGTAAGTTTTTCTTTTTATTACTTAGTTAAAAATGTGTTTGTTGTATGTTCTGTTGGAATTGCTTCTTATCATGAAAAGATCATTCTGTGTTGACCCCTTGGTATCCTACTGTACTGTTTGGTGACAGTGGCAAATATTCCTACCCTCTTTTGCTGGGGCCTCTGAAGAATAACTATCTCTATGCTTATTATTGATGGCTCACCTGAGGCAGACATGAAAATTAAAAAAAACTTATCCCAAATTAAAATGATGCCATGAGTTATTATATCAGTAGAAAGATTTGCAGTCATATTAAAATACAGGTACTTGAAATAATCAGATTAGGTATTAAAAGCATGGAAGAATGTTTTAAAACTCCTTGATATGTTGTCTTCCTATCTCAGTAACTGGCAATTTTATATCTTTCCAGCAGGTCCTATCTCTTGGAGTCATCCTTGAATTCCCTCTTTTTCTGTTTCTTCCTCTTTAAATTCTTCAGCAAATTTTGTACACTCTACCCAACACCTTCTGTCACTTCCCTTCCTGGTCTAAGTTACCACGATCTTTTACACAGATTTTTGAAATAACCTGCTGTCTGGTCTGCTTCATTCTGCCTTTACTCCTCTGCAGTTTTTTTTTCTCAACACAGCAGCTAGATTAAGCCCTTTAAAGTATAAATTAAATAATAACATGTCTTTGCTCAAAACCCTCCAGTAGCTTCTCATTTCATTCCAGGTAAATCCTCAAACTTGCAAGCTCCTACATGATCTGTTCTTCATCAAGCTCTCATATCTGATTTCTTACCTCTCTCCCCTTTACTCACCTCTGATTCAGCCACATTGGCTTTATTACACTTATACAGTAATGTATTTTCTACCTACCTCAGCTTTTATAAACATAGACTGCAACTGATCATTTTGTTGACTCAAGAATGGAAAATAATGATGATTTTTGCCAGTGATAACCACTGATTCTGTTTCCTTCTTTTAGTCAAATTGACTGTTTTCAGTTTAGGATTTATTTTGAAGCTAGGACAGGCAGAAAAAAAGTTCAAGTTTAGCTTTTCATAGTCATTGGGTTCCTACATATTTTACTATTGTGTGATGAGCCAGGGTAATTTTTTGGCTTTCACTGCCAGTGTTTCTGTGTACTCTGCATACGTCTAGTAGGAAAACGTTTACATAATTTTTTTCTTGACTCAGGACCATGTCTGGACGAAGACTTCGAGAGGCAGTTCAAGCAGTAAGTTAAAAATAAAATAACATATCTACATGTTCATGTTTGGTGAAGAGGAAAGTATATCCTATCCCTATGATCCTATATCTAGAGTTCCACATTTCTTGAAATTAATGGCTAAGGTTAATATGAAATATTGGTAGTATAAGAACCAGACTTAAAAAACATAAGGGCATTATCATTAGGTTAAAAATATTTTATTGGTATTTATGTATTAATATTTTAAAATTTGATAATGTTTGTATACATTAAATACTAAGTAACCTCTAAGTACCTCAATATCTTAAATTCCTGTGAACAGTCTAAATAAAATGTATTACATTTTGGGAATTCTGTATTTTATCTGTGCTGTATTTTGAATTTTCTTTATATTCAGGCAGTATTGTAAATGGTTCTAAAATGACATGTCAAAAATGTCTTGTTACTTAGCGCTGGAAATTACTATTCTGGTTAGCTAATAGCCACCCATTAGATTTTGTAATAAGTTGATTTTTTAAATCCCTATTTTAGTAGTAAGAAGTTTCTACATCTGCAACTGTGATCATCAAGGTATTTGTAGATCCATTGACTTGTCCAACTGTAGTGCAGAGTTAGAAAAATTTTATTAAGAAAAATATCTTAAACTAATAGTGTAATCAATGCTTGTGTGTTAAGGATAACAGAATGAAAATATACGTAAAGATGAAGAGTAATTTTATTGGGTTTTACCTTTCTCTCCTAGGAATTTGCATCTCATGGGATGCAGAACATGACTGTTGTTATTTCAGGTCTATGCAACGTCTATACACATTACATTACCACTTATGAAGAATACCAGGTAAAGCAAAACGTTTTCATCATTTAAATGAATTATACCCCAGTAAAGACTATTGTGTCAAATGCAGACTTGCTTTGTAAACTTTCCCAGTCATGTTTCTGAGAGATGATTATGTTTCAGGTATAACAGGTAAGAGGATGATAAGCCAGAGGCCGTATTTAAGAGTTTCAAATACATCATTTTAAGTCCAGGTCAGAATTCTAGTTTTACTGACTTACATTTTCCCTGAAATTAATTATTTTGTCAGGGGCATTGGTAACAAGCCTGGGTTGTGGCATAAAACATTTCTAACACTATTCTTAATGCATTTGATGCCTTAAGCCTCTGTAGCACTGGAGAAAACTCCTACTAGTAGCTGTTTATTGAATGCACTGGTTAAGACTTTGCAAATGTTATTTAAAGTAATCCTCACAGTATATCCAGAAGTAGGGTGTTATTATATTGATATATATCAAGAAACAGAGTCCCAGAGAGTTTGAGGGAGGCTGGTAGCTGGTAATATTTCATTGTTTATAAATAGTCCAGAAAGCAGCCCAAGTACTTTTTAAGTAAAACATGAAAACAGTCCAGAGTCTCATAATTAATAATTTCTGTTAATAATATATCTGCTGGTATATAACAGCAGTGCATACAGAGGCATACAGTCTACCCCTTGGTAAATATTCAGTGATACTAAGAGTAGACTCTGCCCTGCTACCCTCTGTTGGCTTTCCTGAAGGTCCCTGCCTTCTAGGAATTCCCATTGAAAAAGGGATCTTAATGATGCTAAACTTGGATAGGAAGAATTACATCCTTTCTTCACTACCTCTAACTATTATTAAGCATTTCAGTCAATTATAAATATAGGAAACAAACAAATTATTTTAGCAGTACCTCTGTCACCAATAGGCACCACAGATATTTTCATATCACATACAGTGATTGCAGGTCTAGAAATGTCTTTTACTCTTATTGCTATTTTATAATCACAATAGTTATTAGATCCACAGATATATCTTGTTATTCAATAGCATAATAAAGAAGCACATACATTACTGTATCACAACATTGGTTTATTATAGTATGGTAAATATATTTCAACCTAACTGGTTTCCTTTGTCAATTCCATGTATTTTATTTTACACCTTTAGAAACATTATTCTGAGGGAGGTCCTTAGGTCTCAACATGCTGCCAAAGGAGTCCATGTCACAAACAAGGTTAGGAACCCCTACTAGCTTGTCTCCTGGTCCAGGTGAGATGGGAAAGTTCCCTGAACCCCCCTGCAGTATGTGCAACAGGGGTGTGGCTCATCTGTTTGGCTGCTGTATATGCTCAAACCCTTAATGGGAAGGGGAGCATACAGACAGGCAGGTGCAGGAGCCAAGGTAAGTGCTTTTGGGTGCTGGCAGGAGCAAATTCCATGTGGTCCCTGCAGCAGTATCTAGGTATGGGTGCCTGCTACTCCAGAAGCCCAAGTGGGCATGTATTACATACAGTGCACTTTTTTAGCTTTGCTGTCTGCAGATAGCTTAAGTGTTAAACAGCTCAGTGCCCTCTTGGTACCCAGGTCCTTGTCCAGTGTCTAGGAAGAATCAGGTTGCAAATAGACATGAAGGATGAATTCAGGGTTTTATTGAGTGGTAGAGGTAGCTCTCCGTGGGATGAATGGGGAGCTGGAAAGGGGATGGTGTGGGAAGATGATCTTCCCCTGGAGTTTGGCTGTCCAGTGGCCAATCTCTTCTCCAACCATCCACAGCCGAACTCCTCTCAGAGTTCAGATGCTCCTTCTCTTTTCTCTGCTGTGCCATTCTGCCATTCTGCTTTTCTGTTCATCTCCTTGTCTGCTTGTGGAGCTGGGGGTTTGGGGTTTATATGGGTACAGGATAGGGGGGCGTAGTGAACAAAAAGGCAAAACAGGAATGTTTGGTTGCAAAAGCAGAAATGCTTGTTCTTGTTTAGGGCCACAGGTTTCCAGGCTTAAGGGTGGGGCCTTTGCCAGGGAACCACTCTCTTCTACCCAATATTTTCCTGTCTCCTGTCCATATCACAGGGATATACTCCAGCAAGTATTACTATTAATTACTTCATTCATTCAACAGATATGTATTGTGACAGATACTGTGCTAGCCACTTTCTGGGGCATAATGATGAAAAGAATCTGTCCCTTCCCTCAAGATCACTGGAAGCTGGGGGTCTAGTAGGAAGACAGAAAAAAGAACAGATGATTACATTTCCATGAAAGGCATGCACAAGGTGTTATAAAAATAAAGAGAAAGAGCACCAGCCCAGACTGGGTATTTGAGGACTGGGACTGTTCAGGAAGATGTAACATCTGTATGAGTTCTTGACAACAAGTGAGAGTTAAGCAAATAAAGAGTAAGAATGTATCCTATATAGAAGAAACGATATATGCAAAGGTCCAGAGGGCAGGCACATTGATGGACCACAATTCGTTGAGTAGCATGGAGTAAGTATGCGGAGGGTGATGGTAAGGAGATGGTAGCCAGAGTGGGAGACACAGGTTAGCTGATGGATAGTCTTGCATGCTATGCTACTGAGCCTTCACTCAGTAAGGAAGGCTTTGGGGGAACTGCAGTAGGATTCTAAGCAAGAGAATGCTTTGATAAAATTTTGTGATTTAGAAAGGTCAATAGATGGCAGTGTAGAAAATGAATTGGAAGGGCTTGTGTATAGGCAGAGGACTGATTAAGAAGCCATAGTGTAATTAAGATCTGGGCAAGACATGAACATGCACACTTGAGGGTGAAGGCTGGGAGGAGGGAGAGGATCAAAAAACTACTTATCAGGTACTGTGCTTATTACCTGGATGATGAAATAATCTGTATAACCAACCCTCATGACATGTGATTTACCTATATAACAAACCTGCACGTGTACCTCTGAACCTAATACAAATATAAAAAAAGAGATCTGGGTGAGAAATGAGGGTTTGAACTAAGGTGAAATCTATTTGTACCTTAGGAGAAAGTAAGACAGGAAAATGAAAGATCTCAGGAGATTTGAAGGAGACAGAATTACCGGATGTGGAGACTGATAGGATACAGGATGAGGGAGAGAGGAGTCTAAGGTAACTGCCGGCTGATCCTCACATGGGAGACTGGAAAGATGACATTCGCTGAGATGAGAATGTTGTGGAGGAAGCTGGTATGTCTGAAGTGGTGAGGTTGGTTTTAGATTTGATAACTTTGAAATTCCTGTAGAAGAACCAAAGGCCTGGAGGTCAGCTAAAAGATGCATTTGGCTCAATTTCATGGCTTTGTGATGGATTAAATGTCTTTCTCCAGTTAGCACCTTCTAACTATTTATCCAGAAGTTACTAGGACTCTTTATTTTGTTTTATTTTTCTTCTGATATATGCCCTGGGGGAAAGCACTTATATTACAAGTACTTATAATAGACTAAAGCTTAGGAGCTAGCACCGTCTTTCATAGTAAATAGAGTGACAGTCTAAATGGCATAAGCCGAGAGAACCCACTGCTTTTAACAGGTAGTCCATAGGAGTCACTTACCTTGGCCAGTAAATGGAAATGCCCATCCTCTTTTGTCATACATAATCTTGAAGATTGTGCCAGTTTTGAATAATGTGAGATGTCAAGCATCACACTTACCCAAAATGCTACACCTCTGTAAATGGATTTAAATAAGCAGAACCATATACAACTCTCCCTGCCTTTCCTGCAGGCTCAGCGATATGAGGCAGCATCGACAATTTATGGACCGCACACATTATCTGCTTACATTCAGCTCTTCAGAAACCTTGCTAAGGCTATTGCTACGGTAATCAAATATTGTTTGTGCGTGCATGCGCGCGTGCGTGTGTGTGTGTGTGTGTGTGTATGTCTGTATGTGTCTGTGTCTGGGTAAGAAAATGCAGAGGGAAGTGAAAGAGAACCTTAGCTTCGAGTGTTCAGTTTGACAACCTTTATATTTTACAAAATTTATAGTTTTGTGGTATCTCTAAGAAAATAAATAAAATTTATTTCCAAATTTTGGATCTAGTTAACATCCTTTCATGGTGGCAGCTTCTTTCATATATATTTTCTCACTATTTTTACAACCATCATGTGAAATTAAGGAGATATCATTTCTCCCCAGTTTTCAGAGGAGCACATAGGCTTGAAGATAAGTGATGAAGCTTACTACACCTGGGAGTTGAACCTGTGTTCTCTAATCCTTGCCAGATTCTCCCCACTCACTCCAAAAGTTGAGTAGGTCAGCATTCTAGGATGCCCATTTTCCACATTATAATATCTTGGAAATTGGGATGCATTTTCCAATCAGAGGAAGCTTATTATTATAATTAGTAGCATGCTTTTACTTTCTTGGTGGTTCAAAAGATAATATGAGTTGTTAAATCAATGGAAGCTTAGATTTGATGTAAAAATAGTGGTGCCTTGGAATGAAAACATTGCATCTACCTAAAATATATACCGCTGAACAAGTTTACTTGATTTAAAGGAACTTCACTTGTGGAAATCTTCCCTTTGGATGCAGTTGTTTATGAAGCTGCAACTGTGATGTCAGAAGGTTAGTCAACAAACAAGATAAAGAGCTTAAAATAATAAGCAGCCCCTTATATAATAATATGTAAGCCTCAGTAAAAAATGTGAAACAATTGTGGCATAGCAAAGAAAATAAAGCCCTTTTAATGAAAGAGCTTGGATATATTAAGTTGAAATGAATGAAATGGTTGTCTCTGTAGGTTGCATCAATTGAACGTTGAAAATTTCATATGCCTGTATTATTAGTTACTGATTGTGTGTTTGAAATTTCAGTATTTTATATAATTTCTTTGCACATATTTTAATCAATTGATATTTATTTTCATTTTATTATAATTTTGGTCTCAGTTTTAGGTTACTTTTTTTGAATAACTGTTTGTATTTATTTATTTATTTCTATTATAAAATCCAAATCTATTTGTAGGTCATTCAGATTATACAGAAAAGCATAAAACTATAATCCATCCCTAGAGATAACTACTGTTTAACTGTCACTATGCTCATAGGTCTATAGTTCTTCCCAAGAAAATAGATTCTTCAAATTTTGTAGTGACAATGAAGAAAAATGCAATTAATTTGGTGGAAATTTGTTTTACAGTCAAATTTCTGGTCAAGCACCTTAAAACTAGCTATGTGATCTTGAAAAAAACCACTGAATATGTCTAAGCCTATTTTCTCATTTGCAAAATGGGAATGGTAATACATAACCTATCTCATATGCAGTTGTAAAGATTAAATCTATAATGTGAGGAATAAAGAGCGTTAAATATTCATTGAAAGTAATGGCAAAATGCCAATTACTTTTGTACCAACCTAATATAGATATAGGGATATTTGAAAATTGAGATTTGTATTTTTATGACACTATTAAAAATGGTAAACTTTGTGGGCAATATAGATTAAACCAGTCAGGATGTGGGATGATCTTAAATTTTAAATTAAAAATATATTTATTATATTCTTTTATTAGCACAGACAAGAATCTAGGAAAAAACTTGGTACTCACTCCAGGTGAGAGTGGCTCAATACTTTTTAAAAATTAAAATAATAATTACACTGTCATGGTATAATTACCTTTTTGCATGTTAGGCCCCTGTACAAAGTCAGACAATTTGAAAGTATGCTTCCAACCTTGTACTCTGGTCACTGTCCTTATGTTGTCTAGGGGAATGAAAGAGTTGCCTATGACCAAAACTTTCTCCCAGTGACAAGAGTTTAAATTATGAATTTCTAGGCTCATGCTTAGCAAGGCTACCTTCCTATTTTGCTCAAGGTTGTTAGCTCTTGGAGTATGTATATGTGTGTGTGCACTCTTCCATTAATGCAGGCATTTCTGGGTCTGGAGGCCTGGGGAAAGGGTCTTTGACTCTACCTGTGCACTCCTTAACAAATGCTCTCTGTTCCAGGACACGGTAGCCAACCTGAGCAGAGGTCCAGAACCTCCCTTTTTCAAACAATTAATAGTTCCATTAATTCCTAGTATTGTGGATAGAGCACCAAAAGGCAGAACTTTCGGGGATGTCCTGCAGCCAGCAAAACCTGAATACAGAGTGGTAAGACTCATGAGCAGACCTTGGAATCCTTTAGAGGGATGTTTTGGGGGATGTCACTTTGTGTCACCATTTGCCTCTAATCATGCTGTAGACCAACTGTTAGCAATGATAATTTTGACAATTGTTCTTATCTCTGCAAAAGTAATGAGAATGGGGAAATATTTATTTTTTGTAAGTAATTGTGTCAAATTGAAATTCTAAAATCCAAATTATTCCTTTTCTTAAGTGAATGATCATGGAACTATTCACTGGCACTGAGAGTTGTCTCTTAAGTCAAGGATAGGAAAAACATACAGAAATGAAGCAGAATTTGTACCATTACTATTTTATATCAATCTTGTGTCCTGAAAGCTTGCTGAATCAGTTATTAGTTTCAACAGTTTTTCTGGGGGGAGGAGGGATGAGTAAGAGGGGAGTCTGGATTCCTTAGGAATTTCTACATATAGTATCATGTCATCTGTGAATAAAAATAAGCTTATTTATTCCTTTCTATATTTCTTTTCTAAATGCACCTAATTATTTATCCTTATCGGACTGGCTAGAACCTTCAATAGAATGTTCTGCTTTTTAAAAAATTTTATTTAATTTTCTACTTGATAAATAAAAATTATATATATTTACTGTGTACAAGATGATGTTTTGAAATATGTATACATGGGGAATGGCTCAATTGAGCTAATTAACATATACATTATGTCACATATTATTTTTTGTTGTGAGAAAATTTGAGACTTTCTTAACAATTTTTAAAACACAATATGTTGTTTTTAACTGAAGCCATCAAGTTGTACAGTAGCCCTCTTGAACTTATTCCCTCTGTCTAAATGAAATTTTATATTCTTTGATCAATACCTCCCCAACCCCCTAACCTCCTAGCCCCTGGTAACTAACCTTCTGCCAACATTCTACTCTCTACTTCTATGAGTTTAACTCTTGAAGGTTCTATATATAAGTGAGATCATGTGGTATTTATCTTTCTGTACCTGGCTTATTTTACTGAATCTAATGTTCTCCAGGTTTATCCATGTTGTATCAAATGTAAGGATCTCATTCTTATTTATGACTGAATAGTATTCCATTGTGTATATGTACTACATTTTCTTTATCCATTCATCCATTGATGAACACTTAGGTTGTTTCATATCTTGGCTATTGTGAACAGTGCTGCAATAAACATGGGAGTTCACATATCTCTTCAACAAACTGATTTCATTTCCTTTCTCTATATACCCAGAAATGGTATTGTGTATATATTTTACAGTAGTTCTATTTTTAATTTTTTGAGAAACCTCTTGCTGCTTTTCATAATGGCTGCACTAATTCACATTGTCATGAACAGTGTGCAAGAGTTACCTTTTTCTACATTCTTATCAACACTTGTCTTTTGTCTTTTTAAATATTATACATTCTAACAGGTATTAGGTGATATCTTGTTGTAGTTTTAATTTGCATTTCTTCGATGATCACTGATATTGAACATTTAAAAAAATACCCTGTTGAGCATTTGTATGTCTTCTTTAGAGAAATGTTTATTCAGGTCCTTTTCTTATTTTCAAGTTGGGTCATTTGTTTTCTTGCTATAGAGTTGTTTGAGTACCTTATATCTTTTGGATATTAACTCTTTATTGGATGCATAGTTTGCAAGTGTTTTCTCCCATTCTTTAGGTTGTCTCCTCACTTTGTTAATTGTTTTTTTGGTTGTGCAGAAACTGTTTAGTTTGATGTAATATGTGTCTGTTTTTGCTTTTGTTGCTTTTGCATTAGGGGTCATATTAAAAAAAAAAAAACATCGCCTACACCAACATCATGGAGCTTTTCCTCTAGGTTTTCTTTCAGTTGTTTTATAGTTTCAGGTTTTATATTTAAATCTTTAATCAATTTTGAGTTAATTTTTATATTTCCTTCTTCTGCATGTGGATATCCAGTTTTCCCAGCAGCATTTATTGAAGAGACTGTCACTTCCCCATTGTGCGTTCTTGGCACCTTTGTCAAAAATCAATTTATCATAAATGTGCGGGCTTATTTCTGGGCTCCATTGGTCTATGTGTACCAATGGTGTGTTGATTACTTTAGGCCAGTACCATGCTGTGTTGATTACTATAGCTTTGTAGTATATTTTGAAGTCAGGTTGTGTGGTACCTTCATCTTTGTTTTTTTTGCTGAAGATCCAATCCAATGTCAAATAGAAGTTGTGAGACTGGACACTCTTGTCTTGTTTCCAATCGTAGTAGAAAAGTATTCAGTTTTTCACCATTTAGTATGATGTTTTCTTTAGGATTTTTTGTAGATTCTCTTTTTCATGTTTTATGCCTAGCTTATTGCAAGTTTTTGTCAGAAATCAGTGTTGGAGTTTTGCAATTTTTTTTCTACTGAGGTGACAATGTGGTTTTGTCTTTTGTTATTTTAATAAGGTATTTACATTCATTGGTTTTCAGATGTTAAATAAATGCCGTATCATTTAGTCATGGTGTATAATCCTTTTTAGATGTTGCTGAATTTGATTTGCTGATATATTGTAGAGTTTTCTACTCATGTCCATGAGGGATATTTTTAGTTTTCTTTTTATGTGTTGTCTTTGCCTTTGGTATTGGGGCAATAGTGCTTTCAAAGAATGAGTTGGGAAATGTTTTCTCTTGTACTTTCTGAAAAAGTATCCAAAAGATTGGCATTATTTACTCTTTAAATATTTGATTGGATTGACCAGCAAGGCCATATGGACCTGGCTTTTCTTTATGGCAAAATTTTTATTACTAATTCAATTTCTTTACTTGTTATATGACCATTCATATGTCCTATTTTTTTCCTTGCATCAATTTTGTGTCTTTCTAGGAATTTATCTTTATAGGAATTGGTATCATTCTAGGAATTTTCTCATTTCATATAAGTTGTTTAATTTGTTGGTGTAATATAAAAGTTGTTGTTGCTCATGATAATCCCCTGTAATCCTTTTAATTTCTGAAGAGTTGACAATGATATCCCCTCTTTCTTTCTAATTTTGGTAATTTGTGTCCTCAAAGAACTAGCATTTAGTTTTATTGCTTTTACCTATTGCATTACCTATTACTAAATTTTTTAGGCAGGACCAGAGCAGATTTTCATCTTGAGCAAATCCCTTCCTCACTTCCCCCAGCACCCCTCATCCCCTCACACACTAATGTAAAATTCTTTTGAATTATGAGGTTTTCCAGTCTGGCCTGGTGGGAACAGAATCTTGTCACAACTCTCTATGAGCCTGGGGACTGTTCTCTGTAATTCTGTTAGCCCATTCTTTTCTTGGCTTCCAGTAGTTCCCTTATATGCATGCAAACTTGAGGGGAGCTTTCTGCAAATCTCCAGATTTCTGTCTCTGTGCAGCTATCCTCTCTATGATGCTCTGTGCTATAAACTCAAGACTGTTTGGCTTTTGTGGACACCCAGCTCCATATCCTCAACTTAGACTGCCAGACTTGGCCTGAATTCTCCTCCTTCTGCCGTGGCCCGTAAACTCTGATGACATTGAGCTGGTGGATTACAGGGTTCTTGTTTGTCTGCTGCCACTCAAATATCACTGTCTTTCTTTGTCACTTGAAAATCCATTGTTTAATATATATTTTTTCCAGTTTTTTAGTCGTTTCAGGGGGGAGGATAAATACACATCCTGCCACTCCATCTCTTATAAAAATAAAAGCTTAAGTATAAATGTAAGCATAAATATGAGTCATCTGTGGAAAGTTTTGACTGTTCTAATTTGATTCAAATATTCCCTGTATTTGTGTTGGGAGGGAGGTGTGAGGAATTATCAAGGCCTGAAGAAGCCATTTTAATATGCTGTCACTAATATAAACTACAGCTCTAGATCTTCACTTGTATCTGAGTCTACCAAAAGCAAACTCATTGGCCAAACATTCCTATGTCTATTGTTGCAAGGGTTAATATTCTTAGAAGATAACTTACTTGATTAAATAGAACAAAATCTATAAAGGCACCCTAAATTATAGAATTTATAATAAATAATGTCCAAAATATGAGTATAGCAAAAAAACCGTTTATTAGAAATCATTAAATGAATTTTTACTTTCAGGGGGAAGTTGCTGAAGTTATATTTGTAGGTGCTAACCCGAAGAATTCAGTACAAAACCAGGTAGGTATCAATGATTTTCTTTTACAAATGTAAATCCACTTTTTAGCCATTCATTCATTTAAATATCCCTCTAGAGGTTAATAACATAAAGACAAAATGTTCCAACTTGTTTTCCATCTTATTTTGTAGGTACGGGAAAATATTCAATAGGTAGTTAATGTGGATTGAGTCTGGGTAAAAGCACACAGGAAACATATAATTGGCTCCACTTAGGACCAAGTATAGCATAATGCATGTATGACTGCATTGTCTGTCAAGAAGATGTTAAGTTGAATACAATCCCATATATATAATTATGCACCACATACAATGATGTTTCAGTCAAAGATGAACTGCATTTATGACATTGGTCCCGTGAGATTATAATACTCTACTTTTACTGTACCTTTTCTACGTTTAGGTATGTTTAGATACACAAATACTTACCATTGTGTTACAATTGCCTACAACATTCAATACAGTAACGGGCTGTACAAATTTGTAGCCTAGGAGCCACGGGCTATACCATATAGCCTAGGTAGGAGGTTACACCATCTAAGTTTGTGTAAGTCTAAGTCTGTGATGCTCATACAATGATGAATTTGCCTAACAATGCACTTCTCAGGATGTATCCGATATATGACTGTATTCAAATATATAGAACTCTACCAAATGTTGTGAAATAGTCAAAGGGCCAACTGAAGGATGTGTGTCTTTGGCTTCTTCTTCTCTTTTTGGCTCTCTCCTCCTCCTCTACACTACTATCTCTGGTCCTACCTGTACTGTTGTGGAACGGTCACAGATCCCCAGGTGTATACTCTCCTGGCTTGGAGTCCTGGTGCATGTGCTTTACTTTATCTTGCATTGGCCATTTCCCTATTATTTACTACTGGTGCTAATAGAGCATTTATTTATTAAACCTAAAAAATGACATTCAAAATACATGCCCAATGTTAAAACAATATAGAAGTGTAGAAAATAGAATATATAAGTGCTCTTCTACCCACAAACCTGCTTTCCAGAGGTAATAGCTGTTAAGAGTTTTTTAATAAAGCATTTTAGACTTTTTTGTTTTTATCATATGTATGATAAACTATATACATATGTAATATATCTATTAATAAAATTAATGTATACTTGTATAACTTCCTTAAAATATACTTATAACTACACAAGCAGTAACTGGACACATTCTAGTTGTAAAACCTCAAATAATAAAGGAATTTATAGTGGAAAAAGAGTGGGCATATGACTGTGATTTCGAGGTCATGGTTTTCACTGTGGCTGAGGATGCATTCCTTATATCAATTAGCTGTTCTTCCCAGGGCCTATAGTCACTTATAATCCAAAAATACCTTCCTTCCAAAAGAACCTTCCCATTCCTGTTTTTAAAATGTCATTATTGCCAAGATAACAATTGTGGCAATATGACATTCTCAAATATGACATTGGAGGAAAGTCTTCTACTTCTTAGGTAGTCAATATGCACCTGTTTGAAGTAATTTCTTTAGTAAGTGAATCTGTGCCACAATAGTTACGTGTTCATAACATTATTTTCTGAAGATATCAAAGTGTTATATCAAAACTGCATGTTTAGCTGTCACCTGATATCCCTAGGGTAGAGAAATTCTATCATCATTATTGCCATGGAGAAGCAGGAGAACAAAACCTTTAAACTACTATAGTGGTAATAGAATTAATTTCAAAGAATGCTCTGGGACTTGGTATAAAACAATTTCTATCACCCTTCTTCATTAGTAGTTATCATCACTATTTATGGAATGCTTACTATTTTGCAGGTAGTATTTGCAAGTATTCCTATTAAAGTGCTTTATATGCATTATCACATGATTAATTCCATCCTTACGACTACCCAATGAGTTAAGTTTTATTACCCTTACTTTCCAGATGAATAAACTGAGGCCTAGAGAGATAAAGTAACTTATATTATGCATAATTAATGTATGCAGTACCTAATTATGCATCTGGAAGAGATTACGGTAGAGCAGTTGGGAAAAGATTGTCATATGTTTTATCCCTGGTATTCAGAGGCCTAGACTTGTTCTTCAGTCTCTACTCTAGACATATTCAAAAAGCCCACCATATCTTCTCCATCTAAGGCCTTCCCAATGTCATTTGCCATAAATAGACAGAAATAACTCTCTTTACAAGTTCCTATGGTTATGAAAACTTCCTTATTGAATGTAATTCATCAGTTGAATACTTAAAGGAGAATTTTAAACAATTACATGGCCCACATGTAAATAGGTGATACATTTAGCAAGGGGTTATTTGAGCACCAGTAAATGACAGATGTAAAGAACTGTGATAAATATAAGTGAATTAGACATGTACCTTTTAGGGTCACAATCTCAAGGATTTAAAAGGATACTAGAAATGTATAGCCTTTGTCTTTATTAACTTGTCATATCATTCAAATCTGTGCTTTGTTTGAAGCTGAATTCTTGGTCTGAAACAAATTCTTCTATTATAATAATCTTCCAATGGGGAAATAAAATCTTTTTATGATGTGGTTTCTAGAAATCTATTATAAAAAATCTAAAGACCTCCTTTAGTACCCCAGGATAGGGAAGATTTATGTATTCTTTTCAATTCTTTCACTCAGGGAGGTACGTTAACTAATAATTCATTCACCTGGAGATGGAAAGTAGACTAAACTTTACCATTTTCCCTTCTAACTTTTGAGGTGACTAGAGAAAGTCTTGGGATATATAGATCAATAAACATATCATGAAAAGGCTTGACTTATACCTTTTTAAAATCTCAGGTAAGTTTTATTCCCAGCCTCTTTTCTGCCCTAATTTCCAAAATTTGCTACTAACTCTAAAATTACACTTCTTTCACATTTCTAAAAAAATCATGTTTTTTAATAGACTGGATAAATTAACATTCTGAGTACATTGCATAGAATGTTAAGAGGAAAGCCTAAGAATTTGGATGAAATTCTAACACATTTTCACACAAGGTATTGGTAGGCTAACATATGGTCAACAAGGGGAGTATTTACAAACAGGTTCCTTCTGTGACTGTGCAGTACCTGATCAGGTTTATTAATTGCATTTCAGACCCATCAGACCTTCCTCACTGTGGAGAAATATGAGGCTACTTCAACATCGTGGCAGATAGTGTGTAATGATGCCTCCTGGGAGACTCGGTGAGCACATTTATTGAATATTTTTGTCTTTCAAGCTTCGAAACCAGTTGGCTTGTAATGCTGGGAAGACAAATGAAAAGACTGGCTCAGTACAAGGTATTAATGATATCAAATTCCCAAGGAGGTTTCTGGACATATTTAGTTGATTTATTAGATTTCATTTTGATTCATTTTTCTGCAAAACAGTGTGGTGTGTGCTTCTGTAAGATTAGGTGCTAATGAGGTTATGGCTTCCATTCTTACAGACATCTGTTCTGTTTTTTTTCCCCATGGACACAGGTATTATTTGTAAAATCTAACTAGCTTCCTTGCAAATTGGTTGAAAGGAGTATAGAGTAAAAGTGTTGAGATGTCTCTGTAGAGCTTGATATTTCTATAGGGAAAATGAGTCTATACCTGACATGTATTGCATGTTTGTATATGATCAATGATTCTTCATTTGAGTTACTAAAACACTAGAAGCTTGGGTGTTTAACTCTTAATGACTTGAGTGAGGAGATAATATATTCAGGCAATTTCTCCGGAGAGACATATCTCTTTGCCTTTTGCTACCAAATTCCTGAGTTGAATAGATATTTTGAAGATTTGATAATGTGTCTGAAATAAGACAATACTTCTGTTCCCAAGTCTATAAATTTAACATTCCATGACAGTGGCATGGAAGTAGGTACAGTTTTTGGCAATTTGGGTCTAATTCAGATTGCCTCAAACTAAGTGATATTAGTTTGTTAAATGTAAATATGTTAGTATGGTTCAGATGGTTAATTGAAAATAGGAATTTGACCATGGCCCATATACAAATATGGGCAAAATTTTTCTTTGGTATTTAGAGCTGTAGAGTATAGGTACATTTTAAAACAAGTAATGTATATTTATCGTTGAAAAGGTTATACAGGTAATAAAAAGAATGATTTATATTTAAATGCTCAAAGTTTTTAGCTAATAGCAGTCAATACTGAGGATATGTTTAGATCTCTGCCTTGTTCATTAGCAGCAGAATAATCAAATATTTGTTGAGAGTACTGAACCCATCACTGAGAAACACAGAATGTCGAGCACACTCTCTGTGCCCAAGAGATTTACTTTCAGCATAACTGAGGATATCAGTTAGCCCGTTGTATCTCACTGAGTCTAGAAGAGTGTCTGAACTCTCTGCTGTGATCTGCAGGGGCCAACATGATCTGGTTCCACCTGTTTCTCTCATCTCAAGCACTCTTCCATGGTTTACCATTCCCTGTACCAACTGACCTGCTTTCTGCTTTGTGGCCACATCAAGTTTGTTCCTGCTTTGGACACTTTGTATTTTCTGTTCCTTCTTGTTAGAATGTTTTTTCCTCCAGATTTCTGCAGACTCAGTTTAAATGACATCTCCCTAAAAAACTTCCATCTTGTTTTCTACACTAAACTTGTCATTCTTAAGATTTTTATATTTATTGCTTTTTGTTTATTGCATTTATTTCCATCTTCAACTCAGTAGAACATAAGCTTCATGAAACTTGGGACCATATCTATCTTGCTCCTTACTGTACCCTCAGTACTTCTAGAAGAGAGTCTGACATGTATTCATTTTCTATATATATATATACATATATATATATATATACACACACACATATATATATAGAAAACAAATGAATCTAGATGTGAAAATAAGTGTCAGATAAGGGCTAAAAGAGTGCTTTGCAATTCTACAGCAGGAGAGACATCTTGTGGCTATCAGGTAAGGTTTCCTGGGGTGAGTATAATTTAGGTAGGTAGAAAGGTAGAACAAGTAAAGCTGTTTCTACAAATTGCTGTTCTTTAAAGTTTCTCTTCTAGAAAATAGACGTTTTTGTCTGTTTTGTTCATTGCTGTATCTTCAATGTCTTGATAGTGCCTTGCTCATTGTAGGTATTCTCTGAATATTCATTAAATGAATAATCATGTATTTTTCTAATTAAACATTTTTAAGAGTAAAATTGAGTTTTGCTTGCTTGTTTGTTTTTTATCAACAGTTTTTATTGGCACAAGGGACTCCTGGGTCTGAGTAATGCAACAGTGGAATGGCATATTCCAGACACTGCCCAGCCTGGAATCTACAGAATAAGATATTTTGGACACAATCGGAAGCAGGACATTCTGAAGCCTGCTGTCATACTTTCATTTGAAGGCACTTCCCCGGCTTTTGAAGTTGTAACTATTTAGTGAAAAGTTGATAGATCATTTAAAGAACAGCTTTACTCTCTACACATTATATAAGTGATTTCAAATGAATGTGAACTAGTGAACTACCATGTTGACTTCTATAATCGTCCCTGTTTGGGGACAGATAGTTTACTGCTAATGGGGTGGAGGGGTGTGTGTGTGTGTGTGTGTGTGTGTGTGTGTGTGTGTGTGTGTGAGAGAGAGAGAGAGAGAGAGAGAGAGAGAGAGAGGTTTGTCCCATATATCTTGCTCCAGCAGCCATATATCTTGTGGTCTACAGCCTAAAGCATGATTTCCCTTGAAGTCTTGGGGTTGTTTAAAGGAGAGTCCCTTCAATATAAAACCTCTGAAATATTAGTGAGAATGGCTCACTAATGTGAACAATGTTTAAATTATTTATTTATATATAGAATTACTGAATATTAGTACTGGGAAAATTTATAGAAATCATCTAGTCTTACCCTTCATCTTACATATAAGAAAAATGGTCTTTTCTTCTAATCACATTTACAAAATATGATATAAACCTTGACCATGAATGTATGAGCCTAATTAGAGAAACAGAAAATCAGCATGTCAGTTTTCCTTCATTCAAAATAACATAGTCTTTCTAAGCAGTCATTCTGGAGTTAACATGCCTAGTTCAGAGCCGCTGTGGATGCTCAAATCATTTCTGGAATTGCCTTCAGGACACAATTATGAGAAAGTCAGACTTCCAATATTTTGATCATGCCTTGTGTTTTCCTAAGTGTCCTTATCCCACTGGATTGTGTCTCTTACTCCCAAGACTTATTCCAAATGATTTTTTGACTCTTTTCATTAATCAAATTCACCCCAAACCAGAAAGTTTTGCCATTAGTGTAGATATTAAAAATATTACTGGCTGGGAAAGCACTCCTCAAAGCAGAGGTTCTAAATTAATTTATCTGTTCTTTTACCATTTGCTCACTCACTCACTCATGGACCCATTCAATCATAGAATATTTAAGATTTATATGCCCAGAATTATAATAGTGCCTAGGCCTTGATAATTAGTGAATTTGTACTTGGGGTGAATGTGTAAGTGTCAAAAGGTAACTATTATGAAGGAGAAAATAATCGATTTAATATGTAAATTCTGGGGAAGCATTTAAAAAATCAGTAATCTTCAAGTTATATCTTGTGTATCATCTGTGTTGGATACTCTAATTTGGGGGGAAAGAGGCTCCAGACAGTTTGCTAAATACTATTTTGAAAGTTATTTTTGGGCATTGTAAAATACCTTGCTTCATACCCCAAAGAATAAGATATGACAGTCTGACATCGATTGTCTGAAAGTACTAATTGCATTTAAAATTCTTTAAGTTAACTACAACCTCCCAGACTGCAAAGCAAATTTCCAAACCCCAGGTCATACTTTTGTATGTATGTAAAAGCTTTAGCATTTTAGGGAAAAAAATCAATCTGTATTTTAAAAATAAACTTTGAGGTTTGAAAATAATAACAATATTCATAATGGTAGTATTAACATCTATTATGTATAACTTAATCTCAACATAATTTATTGAATTAGAATGAACCTGGAACACTTTTTGATGAATTGGTATCCTAGAGGCTGTTTCCTTGGGCATTAACTGCTGGAGGATTAGGTAATCAGGGATTCCAAGTGTTGTGATCTTTTTTCTGATGATGCCACAGTCTTCAGTGTAAAAGTTCAGAAGCCTAAAAGAACAAGTGATCCTGAAAGTAGCTGATTCCAGACAAGAAAATTATATTAGAACTTATGATATGGTTTTTTAAAGTATTTGTTATTACTCAGAAGGGTTCATGAATCAGTTTCCACTACCTCTATTCCTTCTATTGAAGCTTTCCTCAAATCTACTTGTGATTCCTGATAGCTCACTGGCAACTGTACCAAGGTGGCCACTGTATCATCTACTGATCCTACTGCACCTAGCACTCTTGGCTCCAGATAACGCACAGAAACCTATTTTCTCACCAGCTGTCATTTCTTCTAGGGCATGCAGTTCTATGTTCGCAGTTCATGTGTAAAAATAAAACCAAATTCCTGGATTATCAATATCAGTTCTTTACCTGTGCATAAAAGAATATCATGAAGTAATTGAACTTATCTGTTGATATAAAAACACAGATCCAATTCATGTCTGTGGATGCTGCAGGGACTGGCTCACTGGAGCCAAACCATGTGGCAGAAACTCCTGAAATTGGTGGAAAAAGTGGAATATGGCAGATTGGGTAGGTAGGAGAACAATTTTGGAGATTTTGTTTCTCATGTTAAAATGTCTGCATTTTATTTGCTGTACCCTGCCTACTCTGGTTTTAAGGATTTTTTGACTTCTTTGAAAAGCACTGAATAATCTCTTTTCCAGGTCTAGATTTTTTGATGAGTACTGTGTAAAATTGTCAATATTCAATGGATTATTTAATAATAAATTAAGAATTACACTCATAAAAGTATTGTCTAATGAAAGGTAATGTAGACAAACGAACACTTTTTTAAAAAAAGAGGTGGAACAAAAGGTGGTAGATTACATGTAAGTTAGGTTGGAAAGTGATACAAATGACTTGTAAATAACCACTGAAGCACAAGGGAACCACTTCTTTATCAGTTCCTTTCTAACTTCTGAAGATGTACTGCTGGTAAAACACATGTATGGTTGACAATTCTTTTATTTTCTTTCTCTTTTTTACTAGTTGGGCAAAAAAATTTCCTAGGCAGGTAGCTAACTATGAAATTGTTTCATGCGCTAATTCTGAACAAAAAGACCAAGAATGAATTTACTTATGAATGTCCTTTTCTAATGTGCCCTCTTATGCTTCTCCTCCAATGTAAGCAAGCTTACTGTCTTTTTCTAAGATTAGCGCATGGATTCTATCTTTAGCCAAAAGGTTTCATCACTAGATGAACTTCTCATGTGTTTAGTTCTTCCAAATGATGCTCTTGCTTCCTGGGTATCCAACCTGACTTGCTGGTTTATATTGGCTTCCAAAATTTTAGAGTGATAGGGTATCGGAGAGGGAAATTTGCACATTCCTTATGCAATTTGTTAGTATGCATTCAGCTGTAACTCAGAAAATATTCCTGATCAACATCCATCCAAACACTAAAGACATTTATAACCTCACATAGCAGTAAGTCTTGAAGTGATAAATTCAGGTTTGGTGCAGCCACTCAGTGGCTCTTCTTAATATATTGACTTAATTCTTAGGCTTATCCTCTTAGCTAAAAGATCGCTACCTCAAGTCTACATATAATTGAATGCAGCAGCAAAATGGGAGGAGAGAGTTCTCTTTATAATCCCCTTTTAGAAGGTGGAAAATAGTAAGAACACAAGTTGAATTTTCCTTCTATTTCTTTGTTCAGAACTGTGCCACACAGCTACTCTTACCTGCAAGGGAAGCTGGAAAAAAGAATATTTAGTATTTTGTGCTTCTAGAGAGTGAGGCAAGTTCTGATAGTAAGAAAGAAGAGATAGCCGAAGTAGCTGTCATAAAATTATGTTAGTCAAGACAGATTAGTTATGCTACAACATTAGAGATTTATTTCTTGATCTCATGACCTGTCCATTGGGGTTAGCTGAAGGATCTGTTCCACATCTCATTTGAGTTCACAGGCTGACAGAGACTTCCATTCTAAACATTCTTCCATTGTGAGGGAACAGGAACAGGTGCTTCCATGATTAGGGGGAAGGGACAGGGAGAATCATGCAATAGTTCGTGAAGCTTCCACATTACTGTGCATTTTTCACTGGGCAGGTGACAGAACCAGGATATTTGCAAGCAGCCCTAAAGGTTACCACAGTGGGCAAGCAATAATATCTGCATATCCAAATTAACTGCTCTTTGAAATAATTAGAACTCGTTTTACTCTAGAAAATATATTTTGGAAAAGAACACACATTGGAATAATGACGAAAAAAATTGCTTTCTGTATTGCAAAATGTATACGTTACTTTAACAGATTTATATCAAGCACCTATATACTTTATGGCAGAAATTATGCTAAATCCTAAGAATGAAACAATAATGAAGGCAAAGCTATTCCCTGCCAAAAGGAACTTAGCGTTTAACGAACAAAGCAAACAGATGAACAGGTAATTACTGTACAGAGTGACCCATATTGTTATTGTTCAGGGAATTAGAGAGGGCACCTAATATGGTCTTGGGGATGTTTCAGTAAGTTTCCTGGAAGAAATAACATATAAGCTAAGACTTAAAAGACATGTAGAAATTAGCTAGAAGAAAGGCAATGGTGTGTGCATGTATGTGTGTATTAGTGTGTGTTTGTGTTTGTGTACTGGGCAAATAGACTATTCCATGTAGAGGGAATATTGAGTACTTTATCAAGACTATAGTTAGAGTATAAGGAAAGAGTTGACAGTGAGGCAGCACCAAACTTTACCTTCATAAATAGCAATTTGGTTTTATACTTGTATTAGCATTTTTCCCCCTTGAGACTCTTCCCCTATAACATCAATGTCCTTGAATGTATTTGCCATTTGCTCTAATAATAAAATACACTTTCTATAACCAAAAACTTACCTTGACTCCCAGTTTCCAGTACCACTTAGTGTCATCCTTCTGTCTTCAGGGCTATAAACCTGTCCATAGACAAACCCATGGAATTGAATTTATTAAGAGACTTCTTTTGCTTATGTCAATTTCATATTTCCAAATCTATGATTTCTTTTGTTTTTTGTTTGTTTGTTTGTTGTACCTGCTAAAATGGCAAGTATAACCAATGAAGACCATTCTCTCCCTTTAGATAGGGTTCAGAGTTCCAGCCTTACGAGTTCATAAATACTTGTGAATACTAAAAATTTGAGCCACCCTCATAAAATTCAAAGCATCTTGGCCTGCATACTGCCAAGTTATCAGGGACCCAGCTTCGGTTAGTCCTATTTCTGGATTTTTTTACCATAATGAAAAATTAGAAGCCTAGGGGTATGGGGTCAATACTAGCTAGAGGAGAATAGAAGATCTACTATCCCTGTCTGAAATCAGGTATCTGGAAACATTGACTTGATCATTTTCTCTGTCTCATTGTATTTTTCATATTCAGTATAAAAGATTTACCCTTTTTTTCCAGACCAAAATAAGCTAAAAGGACAAAAGAACTTAATAATCCAGCAATTGCAAGCTTAGGACAAAGTCCAACCACATCCCCTAAATGGCCAAGGGACAGTGGTGATAACATGGAGAAAGACACCCTTAAGTGGAATTTCAAGAAACTAGTATCTGTGATTTTATAAAGTTGATTCCACTATCATGAGGAGAATACAACCTCTGGAAGGCTTTCCTACACTGTGGACTGTATTGTGCTGACTTGTTGCCTGTCTCTTCTCAGTTTCTCTTAATGTCAATAATCCACGAATGCAAGAAATTTCACAGGGACTGGAACTTCATTTATAACTGAGGAACATAAATAGGAAGTTGTATAAAGAAAAGAAAGAACTCTACACACTGCTTTAAATGTGTCCCAGAGATTCTGGTATGTTGTGGCTTTGTTCTCATTGGTTTCAAAGAATGTCTTTATTTCTGCCTTCATTTTGTTATGTACCCAGTAGTCATTCAGGAGCAGGTTGTTCAGTTTCCATGTAGTTGAGCGGTTTTGAAATTTATAGCACTAAATGCCCTCAAGAGAAAGCAGGAAAGATCTAAAATTGACACACTGACATCACAATTAAAAGAACTGGAGAAGCAAGAGCAAACACATTCAAAAGCTAACAGAAGGCAAGAAATAAATAAGATCAGAGCAGAGCTGAAGGAAAATAGAGACACAAAAAACCCTTCAAAAAAATCAATGAATCCAGGAGCTGGTTTTCTGAAAAGATCAACAAAATTGATAGATTGCTAGCAAGACTAGTAAAGAAGAAAAGAGAGAAGAATCAACTAGATGCTATAAAAAAATGATAAAGGGGATATCACCACCAATACCAAAGAAGTACAAACTACCATCAGAGAATACTACAAACACCTCTACGCAAATAAACTAGAAAATCTAGAAGAAATGGATAAATTCCTGGACACATACACTCTCCCAAGACTAAACCTGGAAGAAGTTGAATCCCTGAATAGACCAATAACAGGCTCTGAAATTGAGGCAAAAATTAATAGCTTACCAACCAAAAAAAGTCCAGGACAAGATGGATTCACAGCCGAATTCTACCAGAGGTACAAGGAGGAGCTGGTACCATTCCTTCTGAAACTATTCCAATAAATAGAAAAAGAGGGAATCCTCCTTAACTCATTTTATGAGGCCAGCATCATCCTGATACCAAAGCCTGGCAGAGACACAACAAAAAAAGAGAATTTTTGACCAATATCCTTGATGAACATCGATGTAAAAATCCTCAGTAAAATACTGGCAAACCGAATCCAGCAGCACATCAAAAAGCTTATCCACCATGATCAAGTGGGCTTCATCCCTGGGATGCAAGGCTGGTTCAACATATGCAAATCAATAAGCGTAATCCAGCATATAAACAGAACCAAAGACAAAAACCACATGATTATCTCAATAGATGCAGAAAAGGCCTTTGACAAAATTCAACAGCCCTTCATGCTAAAAACTCTCAATAAATTGTGTATTGATGGGACATATCTCAAAATCATAAGAGCTATTTATGATAAACCCACAGCCTATACTGAATGGGCAAAGACTGGAAACATTCCCTTTGAAAACTGGCACAAAACAGGGATGCTCTCTCTCACCACACCTGTTCAACATAGAGTTGGAAGTTCTGGCCAGGGCAATCAGGCAGGAGAAGGAAATAAAGGGTATTCAATTAGGAAAAGAGGAAGTCAAATTGTCCCTGTTTGCAGACAACATGATTGTATATCTAGAAACCCCATCATCTCGGCTCAAAATCTCCTTAAGCTGATAGGCAACTTCAGCAAAGTCTCAGGATAGAAAATCAATGTGCAAAAATCACAAGCATTCTTATACACCAATAACAGACAAACAGAGAGACAAATCAGGAGTGAACTCCCATTCACAACTGCTTCAAAGAGAATAAAATACCTAGGAATCCAACTTACAAGGGATGTGAAGGACCTCTTCAAGGAGAACTACAAACCACTGCTCAATGAAATAAAAGAGGATACAAACAAATAGAAGAACATTCCATGCTCATGGGTAGGAAGAATCAGTATCGTGAAAATGGCCATACTGCCCAAGGTAATTTATAGATTCAATGCCATCCCCATGAAGCTACCAATGACTTTCTTCACAGAATTGGAAAAAACTACTTTAAAGTTCATGTGGAACTAGAAAAGAGCCCACATTGTGAGGACAATCCTAAGCCAAAAGAACAAAGCTAGAGGCATCACACTACCTGACTTCAAACTATACTACAAAGCTACAGTAACCAAAACAGCATGGTACTGGTACCAAAACAGAGATATAGACCAATGGAACAAAACAGAGCCCTCAGAAATAATACCACACATCTACAACCATCTGATCTTTGACAAACCTGACAAAAACAAGCAATGGGGAAAGGATTCCCTATTTAATAAATGGTGCTGGGAAAACAGGCTAGCTATATGGAGAAAGTTGAAACTGGATCCCTTCCTTACACCTTACACAAAAATTAATTCAAGATGGATTAAAAAGACTTAAATATTAGACCTAAAATCATAAAAACCCTAGAAGAAAACCTAGGAAATACCATTCAGGACATAGGCGTGGGCAAGGACTTCATGGCTAAAACACCAAAAGCAATGGCAACAAAAGCCAAAATTGACAAATGGGATCTAATTAAACTAAAGAGCTTCTGTACAGCAAAAGAAACTACCATCAGAGTGAACAGGCGACCTACAGAATGGGAGAAAATTTTTGCAATCTACTCATCTGACAAAGGGCTAATATCCAGAATCTACAAAGAACTCAAACAAATTTACAAGAAAAAAAAAACCCATCAACAAGTGGGTGAAGGATATGAACAGACACTTCTCAAAAGAAGACATTTACGCAGTCAAAAGACACAAGAAAAACTGCTCGTCATCACTGACCATCAGAGAAATGCAAATCAAAACCACAATGAGATACCATCTCACACCAGTTAGAATGGAGATCATTAAAAAGTCAGGAAACAACAGGTGCTGGAGAGGATGTGGAGAAATAGGAACACTTTTACACTGTTGGTGGGACTGTAAACTAATTCAACCATTGTGGAAGACAGTGTGGAGACTCCTCAAGGATCTAGAACTAGAAATACCATTTGACCCAGCCATCCCATTACTGGGTATATACCCAAAGGATTATAAATCATGCTGCTATAAAGGCACATGCACACATGTGTTTATTGCAGCACTATTCACAATAGCAGAGACTTGGAATCAACCCAAATGTCCAACAATGATAGACTGGATTAAGAAAATGTGGCACATATACACCATGGAATACTATGCAGCCATAAAAAATGATGAGTTCATGTCCTTTGTAGGGACATGGATGAAGCTGGAAACCATCATTTTCAGCAAACTATCGCAAGAACAAAAAACCAGACACCACATGTTCTCACTCATAGGTGGGAATTGAACAATGAGAACACTTGGACACAGGAAGGGGAACATCACACACCTCGGCCTGTTGTGGGGTGGGGAGAGGGTGGAGGGAAAGCATTAGGAGATATACCCAATGTAAATGAGGAGTTAATGGGTGCAGCACACAAACATGGCACATGTATACATATGTAATAAACTTGCACATTGTGCACATGTATCTTAGAACTTAAAGTACAATAATAAAAAAGAAAAAAGAAAAGAAAAGAAAGAACTTGGGCTTTGAAGTCTTGTCAATTTAAGATTACTTAATTTCCTTGGTTTATGAAATAATAATAGTAATAATGACCTTCTATCATTGCTATGAGGTTAAGTTAATGTTTATGAGAGGGTATTTTGGAAACTAACTGGTTCAAATCCTAGTTTCACCATTTAACCAATATCAGACCGTGAGTAAATTACTCAGTTTTGTAAAGCCTTTGTTTCTTCCTCTCAGTTGCTTAGTATACAAAAAGAGAACAATAATAGTACTTACCTTTTTAGGTTGTGAGATTAAAATAAGGTACAGTTCTTGGCACAGTGCCTGGTGTATGTATGTACTTAATTTACTTAGCTGTTAATTTAGTTAGGTGTTACTGAGTATTATATGAGATATTGCATGTAAGTATCTGGAAAATTGTAGGAACTAAAAAGTTCTACCATTGAGACTGGTATCATGGTCAGCCACAATGACTATGCTTTCCCTGATCTTTTTCAAAGTTGTGCTTTGGCATCGCTGATATTAGTGTAGGAAGAGTTAGAATGAGGAGAGAAATTAGTAGAATGGTCTAGACTAAGAGGTAATGAAGTCAGAACAAGAACAAGAACAATGGCTTTAGGAACAGGTCAGAAAGGTGTGGGTGTATAAAACTCCAGAGTTACAATGGACACAATATACTCATTGACTGGATAAGGTAGGGAGAAGACAGTTACAACAACCCAAACTCTATAACATTTGGGTTATAGTAATGCTATAAACAAGAGCCAAGGTAAAAGGAAACAGATTTCAGAGAGATGATGGTAAATCTAGTTTTGGATGTCTGAGACTTTGACAAGATATAGCAAAGTCCAGCACACAGTGGGAAATGTGGAGTAGAGACACTGGAGAGAAAGTAGGGCAACAGATCAGATATATGGGAAGCATCAAACTTCAAACTGATGGTTGAAATCAAGAAAGTTGATGACTTTGCAAAAGGGAGGGCATATAAGAAAGAGAAAAGAGATTCGGATGACAGGCCTTTTGGAACCACTTACTTTAAGGAAGATGAACAGAAGCAGGGCCAGAAAGTAATATTACTAAGAAGAAACAATTAGAAGAGTTAGGAGAAGGGGCAGTGTATTAGTCCGTTTTCACGATGCTGATAAAGACATACCCAAGACTGGGCAATTTACAAAAGAAAGAGGTTTAATGGACTTACAGTTCCACGTGGCTGGGGAAGCCTCATAATCATGGCGGAAGGCAGGGAGGAGCAAGTCACATCTTATGTGGATGGCAGCAGGCAAAGAGAGAGAGCTTGTGCAGGGAAACTCCCATTTTTAAAACCATCAGATCTTGTGAGACTTATTCACTAACATGAGAACAGCGTGGGAAAGACTGGACCCCATGATTCAATTATCTTTCACTGGGTCCCTCCCACAACACGTGGGATTTATGGGGGTTACAAGGTGAGATTTGGCTGGGGACACAGAGCCAAGCTATATCAGGAAGAAAGAACTCCAAGCAGGTCAATTATATCAAACATTGTAGAGAAGCTTAAAGGGATAAGGACTGAATTAAGCCTTTGAAACTTGACAGCAATTTCATAAGAGTGGAAGGGGATTATAAGGAGTTGTGGAGTTTTATTAGGTTGACTGGCTGTGAAAGAGACCATTAGACTCCACACCACAATCTGCTCTCCCATTCTTCCACAGTGATAGTTTTAACTGGTCATGGGTTAGGACTGTATTTCCCAGCCTTTGTATAGCCCAGGGCTACCTCTAGAAGCCGGTTGTAGCCATATAGCTAAGTTCTGTTCAATGAGATGAGAGAAGTGATGTGTTCTACTTTCCTCTTGTACTCTCAAAAGTAATGGGCATACACTGCTGATATGGTTTGGATCTGTGTCCCCACCAAATCTCATGATGAATTGTAATCCCCAATGTTGGAGGTGGGGCCTGGTGGGAGGTGATTGGCTCATGGGGGCAGTTTCTCATGAATGGTTTAGCACCATTCTCTAGGCACTGTTCTCATGATAGTGAGTGAATTCTGGAGAGATATGGTTGTTTAAAAGTGTCTAGCACCTCCCCACTCACGCTCTCTCTTGCTCCTGCTCCCATCATGTGAGATATCTTGCTCCCCTTTGCCTTCAGCCATGGTTATAAGTTATTGGAGGCCTCCCCAGAAGTCAAGTAAGCAGATGTAGCACGATGCTTTCTGTACAGCCTGCAGAACTGAGAGCCAATTAGACTTCTTTTCTTTTTAAGTTACCCAGTCTCAGGTATTTATTTATTTATTTATGAGATGGAATTTTGCTCTTGTTGCCCAGGCTGGAATATAATGGCATGATCTTGGCTCACTGCAACCTCTGCCTCCCAGGTTCAGGCAATTCTTCTATCTCAGCCTCCCAAGTAGCTGGAGCTACAGGCGCACACCACCATGCCTGGCTAATTTTTGTATTTTTTTTAGTAGAGATGGGGTTTTACCATATTGGTCAGGCTGGCCTCAACCTCCTGACATCAGATGATCCACCCTCCTGGGCCTCCCAAAGTGTTGGGATTACAGGTGTGAGCCACCACACCCTGCCCAGGTATTTCTTTATAGCAATTCAAGAATGGACAAATACAACTCCCTTGCCCTAATTTCCTTCTTAATAGGTGTGTGGCAAACATGATGGCAAAAGCCCAGAGATGGAAACTTCATGTTGAAGATGGCAATAATATAAAGGATCCCAGGGTCCTTAATAGTTCAGTGCTGTTAAATCATCCCTAAAGTGCTTATTCTCAGATGATTAACTGAAAGGAAAATAAACTTCTATCTCATTTTTCACTGTATCATCTCATTGTTAAAGCATCTGGAACCTGGATTCTAAATAACATACCTGTTACAGCCCTATGAAGGCTACCATTTATATACTTTTTCTACTGTGGTTAGGACAAATGTCAACATATTTGCATACAATCAGAAATCAGGTCTTTACTAGTTGACCTGTGGAAATTGGTATGGTGGCCTCTTTGTTTTTTTGACTCTCTGAGTTGTTATGGGTTGAAATGTGTATCCCCAAAATGATATGTTGAAGACCTAACCCTCAGTATCTCAGAATGCAACCTTATTTGGAAATAAAATCATTGCAGATGTGATTAATTAAGATGACATCATACTGGAGTAAAGTGGGTCCGTAATCCAATATGACTGGTGTTTTTATAAAAAAGAATGTCACATGGAGAGACACATACAGGAAGAATGAAATGTGAACAGGAAGGCAGAGATCAAAGTGATGCCTCTACAAGCAAATGATTGCCAAAGATTGCCAGCAATCACCAGAAGCAAGGAGGCTGACATGGAACAGATTCTTTTTTATAGCCCTCAGAAGGAACCAGCACTGTTGACACTTTGGTCTCGAACTTCTAGCCTCCAGAATCATGAGACAATTCTGTTGTTTAGGCCACCCCATCTGTGTTACTTTGCTATGGCAGGCTTTGGAAATAAATACACTGGTCAATAGTTAAATGTCTTCCCCTTTAGTCACCTACTAAAAGAGATTCTTGGGTGCCTTCCAGTTTAGCGGGCCAGTAATTATGTCTCTTCTTTACTTTCCTGGATAACATAGTCATTTTATGGCAAGTGATCTTGTCTATCATTGGTTGCCTGTGAATGTCATCTATCATTGTCAAAGACTGTAGTAAATTCCAAAACTAATTTACATACCATTAAATGCCAAATGAATCATCTGGGATGCAGCTCTAACTAAAATTTTACAGAGAATAAATATTCTGCAATTTTGGAAATTCATCTTTTATGGGTTGTGGGTAAGTGTGAATATCTATTATACATATTTACAAGTTGACAGAATCAGGATAAGTATCACTATGCATGTTTCTTCTCTGTTGCAGTTGAACTGAGTTGGTCTTTTTCCTCTCTAATTTATTATGCAAGTACTATAAGCTCTGCAGCAAATAGGGGAAATGTCAGTGTATAGTCCTTCTTTCTGTTTACATGGAGGGAAAACCAGAAAGGAATTGTGCTGTACTTTTAAAAATATGGTAGGCCTAGGCCAGGTGCGGTGGTTCACGCCTGTCATCCCAGCACTTTGGGAGGCCGAGGCGGGTGGATCATGAGGTCAGGAGATCGAGACCATCCTGGCTAACACGGTGAAACCCCGTCTCTACTAAAACTACAAAAAAATTAGCCGGGCGCGGTGGCGGGCGCCTGTAGTCCCAGCTACTCAGGAGGCTGAGGCAGGAGAATGGCGTGAACCCAGGAGGCGGAGCTTGCAGTGAGCGGAGATAGTGCCACTGCAGTCAGGCCTGGGCGAAAGAGAGAGACTCTGTCTCAAAAAATAAAAAAAAAAAATGGTAGGCCTAGTTTTAAATTAAGGCAGAAGACAGTTGTATTCAGATTGTAGAAAGGCATTGCAGAAAGTAATAACAGTGTTTTCTGTAAGTGATTCACTTTACATTTAAATATGTGAATATGTTCTATTTCAGGAAATGCGTTTATGAATAGAGAATGCTTTACAGACCCTATTGAAGAGAGATCTTCCAATCTTTGAGGGACTTTTTATTTTCTTTAAACAGTGTCCACCTTTTAGCAGAAAATGTAGTGGGGTCCTGTGGAAATACCATGTTTCCTCTTTGCTGGGGAATATGAAGCCTGCCAAGGGGAACCTGAGGATCCCCTTCCATACATATTACTCTTGCTGTGCCTCTACCATGGGAGGCGCATCGTGAGAATTCCACTGTGATTCCAACCTTAGACTGTCATTGAGTATTCTGAGACCTTAAAAAATCCTTTTATCATGGAAATTTTGAAACATACAAGCAGCTAGAGGGAATAGTCTGATGATACTCCACCTACCCCATTGTCCGACTTCAGAAGGTACCAACATTTTGCTAATGTTGTTTCATCTGTCTCCTCACCATTCTCTGGAATGGAGAGGGAGGTTGAGCTGGAGAGTATTTACCCTGTAAATACCTTGGTATATTTTTCTAACAGATAACGACTTAAAAAAATCTTAACTACAGGGTCATTCTCATGTCTGACAAAGTTAACAATAACCCCCTAACATCATCCAATACCCAGTCTGTGGTCGAATTTCCATGATTATCTAAAAAAATGTCTTTTACACTGGATTTGTTTAACCAGAGTGCAGACAAGTTCCATACATAGCATTTGGTTTGTCTCTTATGTCACTCTTAATATATAACATTTCTCATGATCTCTTCCTTCATGCCTTTTTTTGTTAAGGAAATCCTGTTATTTATCCAGTAGATTTTCCCATTGCTTCTTCTGACCAATTGTTTATTCATGGTGTATTTTAACTTCTTCTATCCTTGCTGTTTCCTTTACATATTAGCTAGATCTAACAGTTTGATTAAATTCAGGTCAATTTTTTTTCTTTTGGCAAGAATACTCAACCAGTTCTGCCATCGCACACAGGAACAGAAGACAGCAAGAAAAATTCACTTTGACCCCTTATGATTTCATCTCCAATCAGACCAGTCAGCACTCCCCAATTCTCAAGCCCCTACCCACCAAATAATCTTTAAAAACTCTGATTCCTGAATGCTCAGGGAGACTGATTTGAGTCATAATAAAACTCTGGTCTCCTGCACAACTGGTTCTGCATGAATTACTTTTTCTCCACTGCAACTCCCATATCTTGATAAATCTGCTCTGTCTAGGCAGCGGGCAAGGTGAACCCACTGGGCAGTTACAATAATAGTCTTCAATGATCTTTTGTACTTCTATGGTGTCGGTTGTAATGTCTCCAGTTTCATTTCTAATTGAGTTTATCTGGATCTTCTCTCTTCTTCTCTGGGTTAATCTAGCCAATGGTTATTAATTTTGTTTGTTTTTTCAAAGAATCAACTTTTTGTTGTACTGATCTTTTTGTTTGTTTGAATTTCATTTAGTTCTGTTCTGATCTTTGTTATTTCTTTTCTTCTTCTGGCTTTAAGTTTAGTTTGTTCTTGTTTTTCCAGCTCCTTGAGGTGTGACATTCGGTTGTCAATTTGTGCTCTTTCAAACTTTTTGATGAAGGCATTTAGTGCTATCAGCTTTCCTGTTAGCACACTTTTGTTATATCCCAGAGGGTTTGATAGCTTGTGTCATTATTATCCTTCAATTCAAAGAATGTTTAATTCCTATCTTTATTTCACTGTTAACCCAGATATCATTCAGTAGCAGATTATTTAATTTCCATGTATTTGTAGTCTTGAAGGTTTCTTTTGGAATTGATTTCTAATTTTATTCCACTGTGGTCTGAAAAGATACTTGATATGATTTCAATTTTAAAAAAAACTGATTGAGACTTGTTTTGTGAGCTATCATATGGTCTATCTTGAAGAATGTTTCATGTGCTAATGAGAAAAATTTATATTTTGCAGATCTTAGGTAGAATGTTTTGTAAATGTCTGTTAAGTCCATTTGTTCTAGCATGCCATTTAAGTGTGTTGTTTCTCTGTTGACCTTATGTCTCAAAGATCTGTCTAGTGCTATGTCTATCACTACTATTATTTTGCTATCTATCTCATTTCTTATGTGTAGTAGTATTTGTTTTGTGAATCTGGGAGATCCAGTGTTTGGTGCATATAAATTTAGGATTATAATATCTTCTTGTTGAATTGATTATCAATTCATTTGATCATTGTATAGTGACCATCTTTATATATATATATTTTACTGTTGTTGCTTTGAAGTCTGTTGTGTTTGATATAAGAATAGCTACTCTGGATGGGGGCAGTGTATCACACCTGTAATCCCAGCACTTTGGGAGGCTGAGGCGGGTAGATCACGAGGTCAGGAGCTCCATCCTGGCCAACATGACACGCCTGTAGTCCCAGCTACTTGGGAGGCTGAGGCAGGAGAATTGCTTGAACCCGTGAGGCAGAGGTTGCAGTGAGCCAAGATCATGCCACTGCACTCCAGCCTGGCAACAGAGCAAGAATGTGTCTACAAAAAAAAAAAAAAAAAAAAAAAGAATAGCTACTTGTGCTCACTTTTGGTTTTCATTTGCATAGAATACCTTTTTCCACCCTTTTTCCTTGAGTTTATATGAATCCTTCTGTGTTAAGTGAGTCTCTTGAAGATAGCAGATATTTGGATTGTAATTTTTTTTTAATCCATTCTGCTATTCTGTATCTTCTAAGTGGAGTGTTTAGGCCATTGACATTCAATGTTAATATTGAGATGTGAACTACTGTTCTCTTCATCATGTTGTTACCTAGATAGCTTAACTCATGTCTTAGCATTTCTTGTAGTGCTGGTTTGGTAGTGACAAATTTTCTCAGCATTTGTTTTTTGGAAAATGACCATTTCTCCTTCATTTATGAAACTTAGTTTTGTGGGATACAAAATTCTTGGCTGACAGTTTTTTCTGTTTAAGGAGGTTGAAGCTGGGACCCCAATCCTTTCTGGCTTGTAAGGTTGCTGCCGAGAAGTTTGCTGTTAGTCTGATAGGTTTTCTTCTATAGGTTACCTGCTGCTCTTATAATTCTTTCTTTCATATTGACTTTAGATAGACTGATGACTATTTGCCTTTAGATAGCCTGAAGATCTTTTTGCACGGAATTTCCCAGGAATTCTCTGCGATTCTTGGATTTGGATATCTAGCTCTCTAGCCAGGCCAGGGAAGTTTTCCTCAATTATTCTCTCACATAAGTTTTCCACACTTACTATCTTCTCTTCTCCTTCAGGAAGACCAACTATTCTTAGGTTTTGCCATTTCACATAATCCCATATATCTTGGAGACTGTTCATTTTTTTTTCATTCTTTTTTCTTTATTTTTGTTTGATTGGGTTAATTCAAAAGCCTTGTCTCTGAGCTCTGAAATTATTTCTTCTACTTGTAGGATGTTCATTTAAAGTAAGGTCACCTGTGATGGTGGGTATATTAGTCTGTTCTCACACTGCTAAAGAGAACTACCTGAGACTGGGTAATTTATGAAGAAAAGAGGTTTAATTGACTCAGAGTTCTGCAGGCTGTACAGGAAGCATGACTGGAAGGCCTCAGGAAACTTAACAATCATGGCGGAAGGTGAAGCGGAAGCAAGCACTGTCTTCACAGGGTGGCAGGAGAGAGAGAAAGAGAGAAGGGGGAATTACCACACACATTTAAATCATCGAACTTGTGAGAACTCACTGTCACAAGAACAGCAAGAAGAAAATTCATCCCCATGATCCAGTCACTTTCCACCAGGCCCGTCCTCCAGTTTGACATGAGATTTGGGTGGGGACAAAATCTAAACTATATCAGTGGGCTAGATCTATGGACAAGTTAGGTAGTTATAGAGGTAAGAAAATTGGAGTGAAATAGGTTCCTGGAAAACCTGAATGCTCAGTCAGCTGTCCTTGATAATTTGTGTTGCTAGATCCAAACAGAGAGCACAAGGCTGGGCAAGAAACACAGGGGCTTTGGACCCTAAGCCCTGGGGACAAGGACTGGACCCTCTGTGAACTTTGGGACGTTTGGTGCATCTTTGTCCTTAAGTCTACATCAATGTTCCTTAAACTTGAGTGATAAATGAACTGGAGTTAAAAGGAAAAACAATCCTCATGGATCCCATATTTTCTTATAAATTCTTATTAAAATATTAGTTAAGTATGTAGAAAAAATTAAGAATAAATCATTTTATTTATCAATCTTCCACAACTATAAAAATAAGTAAAGAACACTGAATACATGAACAACTATGAACCAGTAAGAATCAAATAATAATTATTAAATGTGGTTCATGAAGCTCTATTAGAGAAATTAAATCACTTGTAATGTGACTATGTTCCTGACCTCTCTTGTATGAGTCCTTTTGAGGCCACTATGCTATAGTGAGTTTGATGACTCACTTCTAGTCACCACTCTTCTCTGTTTGTTCTATCATGAAGTTCATATTTGAGCAGATGCCAAGGCATCAGTTGATCATCACGTGGCACAAGGCATCAATTACATTTAAGCCCATCTCACTTCTTTCTTCAGTAAACTGTGATAGTTTAAGGAATAGCATAGTGTAGTGATTACAAAGGTGGGCCTAGGAGTTACACACTTTGGGTTTGAGTCCTATCCTTATCACCTATCAGCTGTGCATCCTTAGGCCCAGCTAATAAGTGTTCTATGCTTTTTCTTCAACTCTAATGTAATACTTTATCTAACCTTGTGAGGATTAATGAGATATGCATGTTAAACCCTTAGCATCCCTAGCACATAAGAAGTACTCAATATAGTTCCTAGTGTGCTTATTATGGAGCAAGTTCACTGTGCACTTGTTACCAACTTGTTTGCAGCTGGTGAGACAGAACACACTCATATGCAACAAGTTAAATGAAGTAGATTTACTACCTACAAACAGGCAGAAAGTGATAAAAGAAGCCTAGAGCCCGGGTGTGGTGGCTCACACCTGTAATCCCAGCACTTTGGGAGGCTGAGGCAGGTGGATCACGAGGTCAGGAGATCGAGACCATCCTGGCTAACATGGTGAAAACCCATGTCTACTAAAAATACAAAAAATTAGCTGGGCGTGGTGGAGGGCGCCTGTAGTCCCAGCTACTCGGGAGGCTGAGGCAGGAGAATGGCGTGAACCCGGGAGGTGGAGCTTGCAGTGAGCCGAGATCGTGCCTCTGCACTCCAGCCTGGGCAACAGAGCAAGACTCTGTCTAGGATACATTGTGAGACAGTCCCCCAAAGTTCAAGAAACCTTCCTGGGGCAGATGGTACCTCAACTCCACGTGTCCCACTTGTGCTACAGCTGAAGGACCCAGAGAGGCAGCCTCTTCTGGATTATATACCTCAGGGGCAATGTGGCTCACTAAGCAAAACTTCAAAGAGCATCCTGCTTCCAGGGGAGAGAGGAACAAAGCCTAAGCTGTACTAGGCAGTTCTTGCCTAACTCAAAATGTTACATTCCCTAGGAGGGACAGGAATAAGGCCTGGGCTATTCCATGCAATTCCTCCCTTCCTCAGGATATTGCACTTTCAGCACATTCTAGTTACTCTTAAGAACTACAAATAAGAAGGTGAGAACTTGGTCAGTCCAAGGCCACCTGGAGAACAGTCCTGCACTTATATAAATATTTTGACTTTGCTTGGAATCAAAATACAACATTATAAATTTCTTATAGATAACCATTGAACTCCTAGAAAGACCTAAGTTTGAGAAACATGAATGTACACTAAAACCAGAAGAAGCAGCCTCCTTGAACCCTTTTGCTGTTCACAACCTAATATGAGCCCTCTAGATTGTGGCTTTTAATCTTTCAAGCTTCATGATTTATTTGTAATAGTTGAATTTTTGGTAATACATTTTAAGAGATTAAAAGGTAACCACTGATATAAAGAACAAGTTTCAAGATGGAAAAAGATCCTTATATTAGTTCTAGAACATGGGGCTGGACAACACCGTATACCTCAGTAAATACGTGCAATTCATTTTTACTACTAGAGAGGGAACACACTATTATAATGGCACCTGTCAGAACAGTGAGCCAAGAAAAAAATTGTGTGACATGTTGTAGAGGGGTAAAGAGCACTCAATCTTCTGTAGGTAAGAGGCATTGACAACATTCAACTGATGCCAGAGAAATGTCACAAGTTTAGTGGAACATGGAAGGACTTAGCCTTGGGGTTACATAAGTACATGGTCAGCGCAGTAAGCCATTCTACACAAATGGTGACAGAATGCTAAATGGTGATCATTTTAAGAATCTGAGAACTACATGCATCTTTAGTAAGAGTGCAAATAAATTGTGCACATTGACCAAAATTTGGCAGAGAGCTCAGCACACAGCAGCATGCTGGGGCCCATAATTTGAGGATCACTCCTGCCCTAGCTCCATGGTTCTCAACCTTGGCTGCATGTTACAGATATCTGAGGAACTTTAAAAAATGTACTAATGTTTGAGCCCACTCCAGACATTCTCAATTGATTGGTATGATGAGTGACTGAGGGTCAGGCTTTTTAAAGTTTTCCCAGGGCTTCTAATGGGCAGTCAGGGTTGAGAAAGACCATTGCAGATATTACTACTATACTGATAAGAAGAATAAAGGAGTGCTGAACTCAAGGAAGTTTGTGCCAAAGAAGACAAAGGGCATTTTCCTCCAATTAACCTTATTTATACTTCTTCCAATAAAACCGTATCTCTTAGTAATGGGGATAGTTTTTTCTTATCCTTGTATTATGTAAATTCTTCTCTGAAGATAGGAGAGGAATCTCCACTCTCTCTGAAAGATAGAGTGGTCCACTAATAAACTTCTGATCAACTCTAGAAGAATATTCAAGAGAGCACATATTGGCTGAACTCCTCTTAGGAACAAGGCATTGGCAAGTGTAATGAGTGGGAAAGAGGCCATATAAATATAATCCTGGGGAGAGGGACTTATTCATTACAGAATGTTTTTTATTTATGAAAATTGCAAAATAACCTAAATGTTCCTCAACAGGGAATGGTGTTCTACACAATGGAACACTGTAGTTAACATATATGAACTGGAGCTACAGCTCTCAAAATAATTATCAACATGTGAAGCAAAAAGGTAAGTGGCAGAAGCATATGTACTACATGTTAATAAAGTGCTCTTTAGATAAAGTTTGAAAACATGCATGATAATAGTGTATACTGTTTTGGAACATAAAATGGAATAAATGAGAAAATGTGTGTGAAACCACTTATACCAAATTTGGGATGGAGGTAACTTCTGGGCCATGTAAGCTCCAGGAAAGTAGGGGCTTTCTTTCATTTACTGATGTGCATCCAATCCTAGAATAGGGCTTAGCACTTAGTAATGACTGATAAATATTTGCTAGCTAAAGCAATAAATAAATGGAATCAGGGATGGATTTGCAAGGCCTTTAATTGTCAACATGACTTTTATTAAAAAAATACCACGGAGTTTGGCAAAATGCAAACATTTGACAGAACTTGATGAGTACGTGGGTGTCCATTAGATTATTATTTTGACCTTTTGTATTGGCTTGAAATATTTCACTGACATTAAAAAAAGGGGGTAGATGCAGAACAGACAAGAATTAGTATGATTGGTGGAAACAGGGTAAAGGAAAGGGGGGATTTCAAAATGACAGATTTCAAATCTGAGTTGACTGGAGAATAGCAGTGCCTTTAAGAGTTTCAACTGCTAGAAGAAAATCAGGAATGAGACTGAGGGAGGCAATACCACTTTTGGATGCATGATATTTAAAATTATGACTGAACCTCATCTAGAAATGCCCCCAAACCCACTGAAAATGCTCATTCTGACATCATCAGTAGTTTTCGGGGAAAAAAAGTCACAGGATATAGTTTAAGAGCTTCTCCCTGTTTTTTTCCCCAAAACATGTTTAGACCACAAAATCAGAAGCTGAAAAAGCTGTCCCTGGAAATGCAATATTAATGAAGGGACCTGCCATTTGACTCATAGTTGATACCTGATTGCCTTATAAAAACACAATGGATAAAAATTCTTTGCAACTGAAGGTGGACAGCCCTGAAGGAGGAGCAACTGGAGGGCTATGCCCTTCTGGGTCCATGGAGCAGGATTATCTTGGGCCAGCGCAAAATTGGCCTGCACAAATAGTACAGGACGCCATCAACTGTTTTTGGGTTTAATTTCTGCCTGTTCTTCCCCTCCCCATCTCCAAATGATGAGTGGGGCCACCAGAGTCCAGACAAACCTTTTGTACTCGGCTATCTGAACTTGGTCCTCAGGGGCTGTACTTCAGCAGTCTGACTCTTAGCAGTAGGGCATTAAGTCAGGGTGGAATATAAACTCTTCTGCGAGAGTCAAGAGTCCTGAATTCTTGTCCTTGTTCTGTCAAAAATCATCTGATAAGCTTGGATACATTTCTTAACAACTTTGAGTATTATTAAGGATTTGCTCTTGAAAAAACTCTGAACTCTCCGGCAGGTATTAGAAATAGATTGCATCGTTGTGCCTTTGTTGTGGGATTTATAGTAGTTGCTTGGAAAAGTGTATTGAAAACAATTGAGAAATGTTGTTTGGCTCCAGTGGAAAAGTGGCTGTGATTGATCAGCACTGTCTGGTCACGGGCCTGGGGTGGTGATTAGCACTGTCTGATATGGGCCGGGTCTGCATCGGTGGTCAAATGATAGTCCTGTGTTTGGCCTTCTTGAGCTAGGGAATTCTATAAATGCCAATTTTCAAGGGGTTAGGAGGCACAGGGAGAGTTTCCAGTAGGGGCAGAAAATCATTACTTACACTACTTTACCCCATCCCACTCCCACAAAATACACAAGTTCCCCTCTTGGCAGATGAACAACATCGAAACTAGAGAGGGTTAACAAAACAAAACAAATCAGTATTCACCCAAGGATGAATCCACAGCAACTCTATGGGATTTTCTCTATGTTCAATCTGCAGTGCCATCTACTGAATCGGACAGGAAATAATGCAAAGACTGTAAAGGTAGGCCAGATGACAATGAAGGAAAATGTTTTGCTTGTTATTTAAGGCCATATATTTTAATCTCATAATTTGCCTGAACTTAATTATAGTGCTTTGATTGAGCTCTTTGGAGAGGTTCTCAAAGCCATCTTTAAAAATTCAGTATAAATAACAGTCATTCGTAAGTATCTTGTCAATACACGTTAAATCATTTGTTTTCCTTTTTTGGGGGTTGGGGGTGTTTGTTTTTTAGAAATAGGTCTCGCAGTCTTATTCTGTCACCCAGATTGGAGTGAGGTGGTGTCATCATAGCTCACTGTAGCCTCAAATTCCTGGGCTCAAGTCATTCTCCTGCCTCAGCCTCCGAAGTAGCTGGGATGACAGGCTTAAGCCACAGTGCCTGGCTGTTTCCTTTCATAAAACTACTATTTTAAATGATAGAGTTTAAGGTTAAAATATCAAAACCCAAAAGTACACTTCTGATGTCGCTGAAGTCACAAAGACCAACGTGTCTTATTTGTATGTTAGTTTTAGGAGGTAAAGAAGTCTGGGTGAGAGAAGAAAGGAGGAAATTAATGTCCATTAAGGGTCTATTAGGTTTTGCTCCAAATTGGTTTTTTCAGCAGTGTTTATGTTAGTGCCATGAAAAAAGATCTATGATCCAATATGTTTGGGAATTGCTATAATAGTCCCTCTCTTGAAGATTTACCATGCACATTAGGACAACACAGGTTTCCAGGAGCTCTGAAGGCAAGAAACCTGTTTAAGTTTGTCTAATTCAGTGTTTCTTACATTTTGTTGAACATGGCCTGTTTATTTTAATGTGTTCCTAATACTGGTCTCTCAGGTGCCAGATACTGTGCTAGGGGCTTCAGCCATGTTAACTGACTACACCTCCTTACAGCCTTGTGATGTTATCCCTGTTTTACAAAGGAGGTCGTAGGAGTTGAGACAGTTGAAGCAACCTGTACAAAGCATATAGTTAGAAAACGGCAGTGCTAGAATTAAAATCCAGGCCTGCCTGACTTCTAAGCTCATGCTATTCCCACTGAATTATGTGGCCTCTCAATAGGTCATTTTGGTTTTCACGTGGTTGAGGTCAAGATCATCTGCTTGATAAGGAGAGTCACAAGAGCCCCCCTTTTCAGTTGACATTTCCCTCGGATAGAGACATTTTAAAGGTTCTTGGAGAAGCAAGTGATTTGTTCCTTTGAATGTTGGAAATTGTATCCTGTTTGTGATGAGTGGTCTTTGTGTGTCACTCCTCAAAAACACAGCCATTTACTACTCCTAAAGTTGGCCCTGTTTTGAGGGATACTTGGAGAGAAAGAATGTCTGCAAGGAATTCTTAATTTGGATAAGATATGTCACCTCTAGGTCTCTCCTAAGCTTTGGGTTTCTTAGCCATGAAAGCAGAATTTATGACTCAGTTATCTGGGATTCAACTTCCAAAGCCTCTCTCTTGAAGAGATCACAGATTTTGTACCTTACCAATAAGAAACAAATATTAAAGAACGGGCAACTCTAGAAGGTCACTTGCCCAGAGCTAATTTTTTAAGATGACTATTTGGGTCCTTTGTATCTGAAAGTTGGTTGAGAGCTTCCCTTCAGGATAGGGGACAGGACAAGGTGGGCTCTTTGAATCCTGGCTGTGTCCCTCACTCTCTGTGCCTCTGTGGCTCAGTTTCTCCACATATCAACAGGAAATAGTGTATCTTATGTCTTTGGGCTGAACTGAGTACCAGATGAGATCCTGGATATTTCATTCTCTTATTCCAAAGTATTATGGGTCTATAAAACCCCACAAAGACAACTATGAAGCAGAGCTAGGAAAGCAGATGACAAGATTTATGAAGTATGTAGAGGAAACTTGAGTGTCTGCCCTATGTTGTAGAATTCATTTGTCCTGCCCCCTGGCTTCAATTCTTCAAATTGTGGACTTACAAAAGGGGGATGAAAAAGTTTGAGGAGATAGGAAGAAAGCTTAGACTTTGGATTAGAAATCTTATTATGAAACATTATGAAAATAATTGTATCTTTTCATCCCAATTGTATGTTTGGTTTGAATTTAGGTGCTAGTGTAGGCTTTTTGGCCCCTCTCTTCCCTTTAGGGTTCCCAAGTTAGAAGATCTTTCCTTATTCTTCTTCTCTTTCCAGGGGAAGCTATAGAACTCTGTGGCTAGAAGTGAGCTGTGGATGGTGTTCACTTTCAAGATGATTGTGCAATCCTCCATGTTCAGAATCTGCCTGTAAGCTGCTGTGGCCTTGAGAGGGTGGTGAACTTGGAGGAAGGATTTTCGTAAAATGGCATAGAATGGGAGAATAGTGAACAACTGCGCCAGGGACCTGAGAGCAAGGAGCAAAGCTCTTGAGATTCCAGGGCAAATGGGCCATAGATCTACTTGCTTTAGGAGTTGAGGAGCGTGGTAGAAGGAAAAATATACTCCTAGAGTGAAGCTCCTCCAGAAAACCCCTCTCGGTTTTGGAGGAAATCATTTAAACACCACACCCTGTACTCGATGGGGAAGGAGCTCACTCTGGTAGAGGGTTGAGGTGAGGTACACTGTTGGTGTGGAGGGGCTGCTGCGTGTGTTAGTGTGTGGTGGTCCTCAGCTAGGCTTCTAGCCTGGCCTCCCCTGGACTATCTCTCAGCTCCAGGAGGAGGGAGGCTGGAACAAGTGATTCAGTTTAACAGAGGGGCTGTGGGTTCAGACAATTTGAGAAGCAGGTGTCAGGCGTTTCATCAATAGCAGGGCCCCGTAATGAGCTGGGAGCTGTTTCTTCACTGTGGATGATATGGCCTGGCTAGATACCCACAGGCCTGTGGTGTAAATATCCCCTTAGGGTTTGCCATACACTCCGCAATGCATCTCATCCTATCCCCGATCCCTCCCACACCACGGGGTTCTGCAGGCTCATATGGCCCCAGTGGCAGGCCGGCTTGTATCACATCCTGTAGACTGGCCAGAGCAGTGGCCAGTAGGAGTGGAATATTCTCTCTCTAGAAACAAAGAGGACCACCAGGCATTGGGCTTTTATTTTATTTCTTTGGGGAGGCTGTTGTTCAACAACACTGGCTCAGGTGAATAGCAGTGAGCATTAGGCGGGTTTGTGGACCTGGTGGGGCCCCAGTAAGCCAGACTTTAGCCAGTTCCCATTTATTACTTGATACGCGATAAGCTCCACTTTAACAGGTGATAATGATGATGCTTTGATGATATTTCCAGGAGTTAATATCAACTCAAATCATATATCCAATAATCTTCAAAGTCTCCAGGTATTTTCCATATTCCAGGAAAATCTAAGTATTTCTGCTTCAATCAGTGTGGGCTTTTGCTTTTTCAGGTTCAAAAAAGTTACCTGAGGTAGGCAGAATAATGCCCCCTCCCCCTAAAGGTGTCTATATCCTAATCCCCAGAACTTGTGAACATATTATTTTACATGGCAAAATGAACTTTGCAGGTAGGGATAAATCAAGGATCTTGGGATAGCGAGATTATCCTGTATTATTCAGGTGTATCCAAGTATCCCATTATAACAACAAGGGTCCCTGTAAGTGAAAAACAGAAGTAGGATGGTTAGAGAGGAAGAGAAATTTGAAGATGCTACACTTGATTTTGAAGATGGATGAAGGGGCCATGAACCAAAGAACATAAGCAGGCTCTAGACACCAAAGAAGATGAAGAAACAGATTCTCCCTTAGAGTCTCCAGAAGGTATGCAGCTTGCCAACACCTTCATTTCAGCCCAGTAAGACCTATTTCAATCTTCTGATCTCCACAACTGTAAGTTACATAATATGTGTTGTGTTAAGCTATTAAGGTTGTGGTAATGTGTTACATCAACAATGGGAAACTAGTATCCCACTCAGTAGTAAGTTTGCCCCTTGCCCAGGGACCCTTCCCAGAGCATTAAATCCTACATCTCAAGAAAGTGTCTTCAAGTCCATGAATCCTTCTTTTTCCAATCTTATGCTTTGGCCTCTTGATCAAGCCAAAGCCCAGTCCAATCCAATCCCAGCTCCTGTGTGTACCTATTAGGTAATTCTTGCCATTCCTTTGAAGTATATATAATCCTTTCCCTCTTATGAAGCCCAGTGTGTCCTGAGCTGGGTTATGTTGGATATAATCGTACCCACTGGGGTGGTGTGGGAGTAAGAAGAGGAGATGGGAGCATGTCTTTTGGAAGTTACCTGTTGCCTTGTGGAGTTAAAGCTTCTGCAGTGTCTTCCACATAAGTGAAGTGCTGGTTCTTACTGTGGTGCAGTGGGCCACCTCTGCAAGGTCTGGATAGTCTCCAGAGCCAAAATCCTTGTGGCCATCCACTCAGATATCCCCATCCCATATTCTAGGGTTCCATCTTTTCCTAACCAGAGTCCTGGCCTTAGTATAACTGACCTACTTTGGCTGTGTATTTAAATGTCTCTGGAGTTCTGCATTTCTAACTATTAAGTTCTGAATCTGCTCCTTGGCCATGTCTTCTTTTTTATTGTAAGAGATAAATTAACAAAGAGGCTCCGTGGTTTCCTCACTTAGCTTGTAGCTGGTTGCCAGTCATCGTCACTTTCACATGATGTCCCTGTGAAGCATTATAATAACTTGATAACTATTTACCAGCTCTGCTGTCTTTGCATGTGTAGGTCCCAGATATCTTTCAAATGCCCAAATCATTGAGCTGTTCCCACTGAATCATTGAACTGTGACTAGGGCATCTTCCCAGGTCAACATCAATGAAAACTTCAGCAGTTGGCCTGTCACCTGTGCCAGGGACTATCTGTACTTGATATTCTATTTGGGATGCAGTCCTTCTTGCCAAATGGATGGTGAGTGAGCCAGTCCTGGAACCCCATTATATTACCTGTTTTCCTGGACCACTTATGGTACCACCTGTGTCTTTCAAGGAGCAGAAGCTGAGATGGGCTCAGGCGTGCTAGAGATTTAATGGAAAAACACCTATTTAGGGGAAAGGGGAAAGGAGCAGAAACAGTTTGGTGAACCTTCAGACTGCAGTGCAGATATGGTATTTGTGAAAGGAGAGATGGAGGAAGGCATGATTGAAAAGGAAGATCCTCACACTACAGTGCAGTCTTGAGAAAGCATTAGTCAGGCTGGCGAGGAGTTCCTCAGCAAAGAATGCTTGATAAAGGGATCTTGTGTTGGGCAAGAATGGCTCAGCTCTTGTCCTTGTGCTGTGCTTAGTCATTTTTGGGGGGTAACCCAGGGAAAGTATGATCTTGTTATTGTTACTGGCAAATCCATATGGGCCAGCAGCAACCTCAATTTTCACCTCCTCAGAAGAAAGAATTTGACGGAGGGGCATAAGGCAGAAGGAGAGACCGAGGCAAGTTTTAAAGCAGGAATGAAAGGAAGTAAGAAGCGGGCCAACTGGGCAACTTCAGAGATCAAGTGTGTGGTTTGACCTTTTGACTTGGAGTTTTGTACGTTGGCATTCTTCTGGGGTCTTGTGTCCCTTCTCCACTGATTATTCTCTTGGGTTGGGCTGTCCACATGTGCAGTGACCTGCTAGCACTTGGGAAATGAGCATGTGCAGTGTGTTTATTGGAGTTGGATGCATGCTCACTTAAGGTGTTCTTCTCTTTCCGATAGAAGGATCCTAGAAGGTCATATACCAGTTAAACTCTACCATTTGCCTCTTAATGCACATGCTTGAGCCCACTCACCCAACTCCTGAGATCTTGTTGGGAAGCTGCTGATCACCAGATTCAGTGTTTCTATCTATTGGGAGTCTGCCTTTCCCTGGCACCAGCTGTGATCAATTATTATGTTAGAGAGGCTAACAACTGCCTGATCATCACGTGATAGTGGTGTAACATTTTTGGTGTGTGTGGGAGTAGTGGGAGCTTTCTCCTGCCCTGCTCATGTCTGACTAGTTACCTACTGTAACAGTATGAACAATGTGGCAGATCCAACTATGCTCACTGTGGCAGGTTCTCTTAAAGGAAGTCTGAGTGGCACTCCTCCATGGCCACCCCACTGGTTAATAACCTCAGCTCTGGAGTCAGCATTTCTGGATTTGAAACTTGGTTATGCCACTCATTGGCTATGTGATTATTGGCAAGGTACTTAATTTCTTTAAACTATAGTTATCATATCTTAAAGCATGAGGTTTATAGTAATTATGTCATAGGCAAGCAGTGAGACTTAAAGAGTTAACACATGCAAAATGCATGCAACATGCGTGGCATACAGAAGGGGCATAATAAATGGTAACTAAACAAATAAAATAGGATTGATGGCTCTAGAGCCTGTTCTTATCTTTTCTTTAAGTCTACCTGTTACTCTTGGATGTGAACTAAAGAAGTCATTGTAATGTAGTAGGAGAAGGAATTCAGTTTCAGTGATAGGACTGAAGAATTCCTTGAAAAGGAGATTTTATTGTATTTGAGTTAAACTCTAAAGTAGGAGTTAACTTTTGACAAATGGGAATGGCTAAGAAGATAAAGGAGACAAAAAAAGGAGGTGGATATTGGGGAGAAATTTCAGGTGGAAGAAAAGCCTTATTGGTAGGGGAGCAGAAAAACATTTACTGAAAATCCCAGAGAAGATGCAGTACGTGAGGGAAGTGGACAAAGGCGAGATGACACCTTTACCAAGGTTACTCCGGACTTTATATTTGAATTCCTTTCAGTCATTTGGGAAATGTAAGTAAAAATTTGAATTCCTTATAAACTGCTTCTTGAATGTGACTCTGTTCTGAGACTGAACTGAAAGGGACCAGGTTTTGTCATGGCAAAACAGGCTGTCTGTGGATATTGAATATAGTCCTTATCTGGGAATAGTGCACTTATATTTGTGGCATAAACCAAAGAATAATGGGAGAAGAATTTTGGGCCAGATGGGAGATGACTTCTGACTACTTCTATAGACCACACTCAAGGGTTTAAGAATGTGGCAAATGAAAGTCTGTCTTCAAGATAAGATATCTAGCTGCACACAAAATGTTAACTCTCATTATTTTGAATCTTAAAGATTTCCAAATTAGATTACATATTTCCTTACTTGATTAAATATAGGACTGTAAGAATAATTTAGTCTCCCTTAATGGCCCAGTGTCATCATTGTGGACATTAGTTATTATGCAAGGTTGTACAGGGTAAAGACTTTGGAACTTAAAGTGCATCAGGCTTTTTGCCCCAGTGCTAATAGCACTACACACATTCAAGAGATTTTTTTAAAAGTATTAATTCTTCTTTAGTCCCTTTTCTGCTGCCAATTCTTTATAATAGGCTCATTTCTAGTCTCCCAGTTGTCAGGGTAGGGGCTTAATAGTAGCTCTACCTCTTTTTCTGAAGTAAGGCAAAGGGTCTTTGTGAGCATAGTCTGTGTGTATGTGTGTGTTTTTTTTTAATACTTTGAGTTTTAGGGTACATGTGCACAACGTGCAGGTTTGTTACATATGTATACATGTGCCATGTTGGTGTGCTGCATCCATTAACTCGTCATTTACGTTAGGTATATCTCCTAATGCTATCCCTCCCCTCTTCCCCCCACCCCAAAACAGACCCGATGTGTGATGTTCCCCTTCCTGTGTCCATGTGTTCTCATTGTTCAATTACCACCTATGAGTGAGAACATGCGGTGTTTGTTTTTTTGTCCTTGCGATAGTTTGCTGAGAATGATGGTTTCCAGTTTCATCCATGTCCCTACAAAGGATGTGAACTCATAATTTTTATGGCTGCATAGTATTCCATGGTGTATATGTGCCATATTTTCTTAATCCAGTCTATCACTGTTGGACATTTGGGTTGGTTCCAAGTCTTTGCTATTGTGAATAGTGCTGCAATAAACATATGTGTGCATGTGTCTTTATAGCAGCATGATTTATAATCCTTTGGGTATATACCCAGTAATGGGATGGCTGGGTCAAATGGTATTTCTAGTTCTAGATCCCTGAAGAATCGCCACACTGACTTCCACAATGGTTGAACTAGTTTACAGTCCCACCAACAGTGTAAAACTGTTCCTATTTCTCCACATTCTCTCCAGCACCTGTTGTTTCCTGACTTTTTAATGATCACCATTTTAACTGGTGTGAGATAGTATCTCATTGTGGTTTTGATTTGCGTTTCTCTGATGGCCAGTGATGATGAGCATTTTTTCATGTGTCTTTTGGCTGCATAAATGTCTTCTTTTGAGAAGTGTCTGTTCATATCCTTCACCCACTTTTGATGGGGTTGTTTTTTTTTTCTTGTAAATTTGTTTAAGTTCATTGTAGATTCTGGATAATAGCCCTTTGTCAGATGAGTAGACTGCAAAAATTTTCTTCCATTCTGTAAGTTGCCTGTTCACTCTGATGGTAGTTCCTTTTGCTGTGCAGAAGCTCTTTAGTTTAATTATATCCCATTTATCAATTTTGGCTTTTGTTGCCATTGATTTTGGTGTTTTAGACATGAAGTCCTTGCCCATGCCTATGTCCTGAATGGTGTTGCCTAGGTTTTCTTCTAGGGTTTTTATGGTTTTAGGTCTAACATTTAAGTCTTTAATCCATCTTGAATTAATTTTTGTATAAGGTGTAAGGAAGGGATCCAGTTTCAGCTTTCTCCATATGGCTAGCCAGTTTTCCCAGCACCATTTATTAAATAGGGAATCCTTTCCCCATTTCTTGTTTTTGTCAGGTTTGTCAAAGATCAGATAGTTGTAAATTATTTCTGAGGGCTGTGTTCTGTTCCATTGGTCTATATCTCTGTTTTGGTACCAGTACCATGCTGTTTTGGTTACTGTAGCCTTGTAGTATAGTTTGAAGTCAGGTAGTGTGATGCCTCCAGCTTTGTTCTTTTGGCTTAGGATTGACTTGGCAATGTGGGCTCTTTTTTGGTTCCATATGAACTTTAAAGTAGTTTTTTCCAATTCTGTGAAGAAAGTCATTGGTAGCTTCATGGGGATGGCATTGAATCTATAAATTACCTTGGGCAGTATGGCCATTTTCACAGTATTGATTCTTCCTACCCATGAGCATGGAATGTTCTTCTATTTGTTTGTATCCCCTTTTATTTCATTGAGCAGTGGTTTGTAGTTCTCCTTGAAGAGGTCCTTCATGTCTCTTGTCAGTTGGATTCCTAGGTATTTTATTCTCTTTGAAGTAATTGTGAATGGGAGTTCACTCCTGATTTGGCTCTCTGTTTGTCTGTTATTGGCATATAAGAATGCTTGTGATTTTTGCACATGGATTTTGTATCCTGAGACTTTGCTGAAGTTGCCTATCAGCTTAAGGAGATTTTGACCTTGAATATTCAAGATTTAAGAAAGTTTACCACCAACAGATTCTGTTGAAAAGAACTTCTTAAGAAGTCCTCCTGCAAGAAATGACATGAATCCAGAGGAAGAAGCAGTGTGAAAAAAGTAACACTTCTCTAAGTAATCAGCCAATGCTATTATTTAAGACTAAAGTATTGATTGCCATGGATGCTTAAAATAACAATTTAGAATTAGAATTCTGGATTATATCAACAGGAGAGTTGGGGAAAAGGAAAACAGTGGGAGGAAGTGAACACTCCTTATCTTGTTTGGGAAGAGTCTATATGTACTGTTTACCTTTAGATTTTGTTAGGCAACATTATATATGGATATAAAAAATTAAGAGTATTTATTAGAAAAATAGCAATGAAATGTATAAATTTCAAACCAGTAAAGGAAATAAGATGGAACAAAGAAATTTCAATCAACCCAACAGAAAGCAAGAACAGGGACAAAAAGAGAAACAGCATAATCAATAGAAAACACAAAGATAGGCCGGGCATGGTGGCTCACGCCTATAATCCCAGCACTTTGGGAGGCTGAGGAGGGTGGATCACTTGAGGTCAGGAGTTCAAGACCAGCCTGGCCAACATGGTGAAACCCTGTCTCTACTAAAAGTACAAAAATTAGCCGGGCTTCTTGGTGGGCACCTGTAATCCCAGCTACTTTGGAGGCTGAGGCAGGAGAATCACTTGAACTTGGGAGTCGGAGGTTGCAGTGAGCTGAGATCATGCCATTGTACTCCAGCCTGGGTGACAGGGCGAGGCTCTGTCTCAAAAAAACAAAACAAAACAAAACAACCCCACAAAGATAATAAAGTCCAAACAAATGAGTATTCATAATAAATGGGCAATAAGAAAAAAAATCAAATGAAAAGCAAATAGGCAATTCATATGAAAATACTATTTGAGGAAATTAAAATTGCTAAGAAAAAAATGCTCGATCTCACCATTTATCAAGGAAATACAAATAAAAGGGCATTGAGATGCTATTTTTACTGATTAGATTGGCAAGTATTTTTAACTTTGATAATAAATGTTAGCCGGAGTTGGGCAAATGGGTACCCTCATGTCCCACCAGAGGGAGTGCATATTAGTGCAGCCAATTTGGAGGGCATCTGACATATCTATTAAAACCAAAACATTTGCATGTGTGTGCAAGAAAGTATAGTCAAGATTATCTTAGCAACATTGCTGGTAGCAGTGAGATATTGGCAATGATCTAAAGGTCCATCATTGGGAGAATAACTACATGAACTATTGTATGTTCCTACGACAGAATACTCTGCAGCAGTTAAAAACAGTAACTTAGAATCATTTCTTTCTTTTTTCATTTTCTTCTTCCTTCCTTTCTCTCTCTCTCTCTCTCTCTTTCTTTCTTTGAGACAGAGTCTTGCTCTGTCTCCCAGGCTGGAGTACAGTGGTACAATCTCGGTTCACTGCAATCTCTGCCTGGCAAGTTCAAGTGATTCTCCCGCCTCTGCCTTCCAAGAAGCTGGGATTGCAGGTGTCCACCACCATGCCTGGCTGCTTTCTGTATTTTTAGTAGAGATGGGATTTTACCATGCTGGCCAAGCTGGTCTCGAACTTCTGACTTCAGGTGATCCACCTGCCTTGGCCTCCCAAAGTGCTGGGATTACAAATGCACCCCACCAGATTCATTTCTTATAGTACGAGTAGACTTACTGTGACTACTTAAAAATTTTCAGAAGGAAAGGAATAGAAACATATTTTATATGTGTAAAGCCACATAAGACAACACTACCGTCTTTTCACAAAGCCCTTTCGCCTTCCCGCTTGCCCGCTTCTTTCCCCTATCCTGCTTGCCACCCTCTTTTTGCCCTCCATCTACCCCAAAACTATTCTCCCCATCGTCTTTTTCCCAATCCTCTTTCCTACCTCCCTCTCGCCACCCTCTTTTCTCCTCCCACTTGCCACCTTCTTTTCCCCCCTCCATCCACCCAAAAGCTTTTTACCCACCGTTTTTCTTTCTGCACCGTCTTTCTTTTCTGCCCTCTGTCTTTTCGCAAAACCTTCTCTCCCTCCCACTCGCCACCCTCTTTTTCCTTCTCCCACTTGTCACCCTCCTTTCCCCATCCAGCTACCCAAAAACATTTTCCCCCACGGTCTTTTCGGAAAACCTTGTCTCCCTCACTCACCACTCTCTTTTGACCCCTGCTGCTCTCCACCCTCTTTTCCCTCTCCATCTACCCAAAAACATTTTTTCCTCACTGTCTTTCCCCCCTCACCATCTTTTCACAAAGCCTTCTCCCTGCTCCTGCTCACCACCCTCTTCTTCCCCACTCCCGTCCCCTCTCCCACATGCCACCCTTTTTTCACCCTCCATCTACCCCAAAACTATTTTTCCATCGTCGTTTTCCTAACCCTCCTTCCCACCTCCTGCTTATCACCTTCCCCCCTCCATCTACCCAAAACCTTTTCCCCCACTCTTCTCCCCACCGTCTTTTATGCCTCCTGCTCGCCACCCTCTTTTCCCGCTCCATCTAACCAAAAACTTTCCTCCCAACTGTCTTTTCTCCCCACTGTCTTTTCACAAAACCTTCTCTCCCTCTTGCTCACCCCGTTTTTCCCCCCTTTACCAATCTCTCTTTAGTCCTCCCACTTGCCACCCTCCAGGGTCAGACCCTGAGTGCTGGCACTCTGGACGCACCCCACCGTCAGCAGGGAGAGGCGCAGGGCTGGGAGGGGCCTGGAGTCTTGCCTGGGGTATTACTTTTGCAAATCCATTTTGTGCGGGCCTCGGTTGGTTTCCCTGGCAGCGATTCCATTGGAAGCCAGCTTCAAGCCGGCATTTCCGGCCTGGCAGGTGTTCACAGCGGCGTCTCTCCTGCCCCAGGACGTGCGCAGTGCTTGGCACAAGGGCGGCAGCGATGCCAGCTTCAGCAGCGCAGTATGGCCACTCAGGCCCAGGCCCCGGCCCGGGTTCGCGGGTTCGCGTTAGTGCGGCTCTGCCGGAGTAGGCGCAGAGCTTTGGGAGTTCTCCCTAGGTGCGGGTCGGGCGGGGGCGCCCAGGAGCTTCTTGGAGGCCGCAGCTGGCGGCCCATCGGGACAAGCGTCCAGTCAGCAGCATGTCAGAGCCGGTGTCACATGTGCGTGCACTAGGGGAAGGCAGCCTGGGGTCGCTCCCTGGGGCCATCTGCCTGCAGGAATGAGTCCACCGACTTGTAGCTGAGCTGCAAGGGCGTCAGGCAGCGGAAAGTGCCAGGAGAGTGGGGGATCTGCACGCAGGCCCTCTGTGAGGACACCACCATCTCCCCAGGAGACAGCCAGGGTGGCACTCTGGCGACGAGGCTGGGGTCTCAGTACTCGCCCTGACACCACCCCCCTCCCTCGTCTCCTCAGCATCATAGTTGGGGGCCTCCTCCGTGTCTGAAATTTGCAAGTCTTTCTCCTGAATGGTGAAATTGTGACGAGGCTCTACCTGGGCAGCTTCCTATTGGGGATGCTGCTGTTTTACCGCTTCTGGGCGCTCTTTGGCTTGTACAGCTTGGCTGCCTTCTTGTTCTGGTTGATCCCGAGCTTGCTCAACTTGAAGGACTCCAGGTGCTTCCTCATGGACCTGTCGAAGATTTCCTGCTCCTGCTTCTCGTCCTCAGTTGGTGTGGCTGTAGCGATGCATGTACTCCTTCCCCGGCTTGCACAGGTACTGCTGCAGCGTGTGGTGCGTGACCGGGTCCTCCCGATACCGAACGTCTGCCACGTTCAGGGACTGAACGTCCAGACAGATGGCACTGATGCTCTCCCTCAGAAGGTAAGAGACAGAGGCCACCGTTGTGGACGATCATGGCGTGAAGTCCACGTTGACGACGTTATCAGTACTTGGGGAGATGATGAAGGCCACGGACCTTAGGCACTCTCCCTTGGTGGCTTAGCTGATGACATCCTTCAGGTTCAGCTCATCGAAGACATTGAGGATCTCATCTCAAGACTTCTGGGTTAGCCTTCTCATTAGAACCCCACTGAGGAACTTCTTGTCAAAGTGGGACCACATCTCTCTGAGATAGTTGTGCCTGATATGCCGGGATATGTCCTTGATGGCCAAGAGGATGTGGTTGAAAGCATGGTGGTGCAGCTTCTCATGGAGCTTGGGCTCCTGGTGCTCACTCCTCTTCACCTTCAGCCACTGCACCAGGGACTTGATGGTCAGGCCCCGGAAAATGACTGTGAAGAAGACGATGACGGTGGTGCTGACAAACAGGTTCTTCTCCTTGACCTTGTTTCTGTCCGGAAGCACGACCACGATGAAGGCCATGGCCCCATGCAGGCCTCTATAGGACATGACCACCTGGTCTATGATCTCCAGCTGCATCATCCAATAGCAGTACAGGAGTCAGGACTGGATGACACTATGGCTCGGTACATGAAGGTGAAGGCTAGTGCAGGAGGATGAAGGCCATGTTCCACGTCCAGATGAGCAGGTTCATGGCCGAGATGCCCAGGGATATGAAGATGGTATTGGTGCCACTGGCCAGCATCTTCATGGTGTAGTGCATGGTGGTGGCCGACTGCTCCGAGATGTTGACTTTCATGTACTTATGACAGCAGATGCCACAGAAGATGATGGCCAGGACGGCCGACAGCAACAGTGTCTCAGATGTCCTACAGATGGGTAGGAGATGAAGAACACGAAACTAGGCTCGATGATGTGCACATGCTTGGTGAAGTGGGTCACCAGTGACAGCAGGAAGGCAAACACCTCCCCACAGTCATGCCCCCCAGGCTCACCACAAAGAAGGACACTACACCTTTTTCACAGTCCACGCTGGTCACATTGTCATCACCCAGTGTCATAAAAGATTGAAACACATTGTACAGAGTCATTCAGTAGCAACTCCCTGAAGACGATGATGAACAGGACCTCATTGACATGAACCTCCTCAAACACAACCAGGATGGCTGCTGGGTCCACAGTGGTGATCAGGCTGCCCAACAGGAGGAAGTCCAGCAGCCCTATCTGCAGGTTGCCCATGAGCCTACTAAGGGAAATGACATAGAGGGACAGTATGGTGGTGGCTGCATTGCACATGGTGCTGATGACCTGGTACAGCAGGATGGTGCCCAGTTTGCCAAAGAAGAGCCAGTTGGGCATGAAGTAGCCGGCATCTAGCATGATGGGGGAAGTCAGCATGAAGTCGCTATGTGGTCGGCCACCCAGATGATGCTGCCCAGCACCAGGCCCAGGACGATGAGCAGGGTGCTCTCAGGGACCACGGTGGTGACCTTGTGGGACAGGTAGAACCAACCTTGGCCAGGCTGACCACAAGGATGCAGATCACAATCATGTACTGGTCCTGGACATTGGCCCATTCAAAGGCGGCCACGTGGGAGCCCTGACTCACATCATGTACACTACTGTGCTCCTCCTCGACACCCCCTCACCCATAGCAGCCACCCAGCACCAGTGCCACTGCTATCAGCAGCCCCCGGCAGCAACATCTGTGATGCGTCTCCATGCCAGCCTGGGACACACATGTTGTGGGAAGTCCCAGCTGTGCCCATCTGATGCACCGTGTCTGGGTATCGTGGGTATTGTCTGTGGGATGGGCCCTAGATCTCAGCTGTCATCTCTTTGTTTTGTTTTTTTGTTTTTTGTTTTTTTGTCTTTTTGATGGAGTTTCACTCTTTGTTGCCTTGGCTAGAGGGCAGTGGTGCGATCTCGGCTCACTGCAACCTCCGCCTCCCAGGTTCAAGGGATTCTCCTGTCTTAGCCTCCCAAGTAGCTGGGATTACAGGTGACTGACACCACGCCCGCCTAATTTTTGTATTTTTAGTGCAGACAGGGTTTCACCATGTTGGCCAGGCTGGTCTTGAACTCCTGACCTCAGATGATCTGCCTGCCTCGGCCTCCCAAAGTGTTGGGATTACGGGCTTTTTGTCTTTTAAGCTTTGCCAAGATAAACGCCTTCTGTTTGAAAAGGATGATTTTCAAAAGGGCCAGAACCTCCTTCCTGGTTCTAAAGGAAGTTTGGGCCAGGGCCCCTTGAGCTTTGGAGAAGGCATGAGTGTGAAAGTGATGGGGGCAGGTGGTTTTCATAGCTGGATGATGTAGAATGCATTGTGGAAGGGTGGCTGCAAGTGGCTTTGCTTAGCATGGCCACCTGGAAGGAGGCTTAGGGTCTTCCAAGTGGCCAGGGCCTTGAGGGGATTAACCCAGCCTCTTGGTTCCAGTTATGTATGTGTTCTTGAGTCAAATGGGCCAGGGTCTATATCCACAGTGACTCCAGCATCCCGGCCAAGCCTGCATCCTCCTCTGTCAGCAGAGGGATGACATAGAGGCCATGCCAGGGATTTCTGCCCCCCCATCACACAGCTGATGTCATGACTTTGAAGTGAACAGTAAGCCAGCTGATGAAGGGGTCTGTGGGGAACCTAGACTATGAAAAGAGGTAGGGCACTGGGTCTGCCACACATCCCCTGGGTCCCTTCATTCCCCTTGGCACAGGGAAGTTCCTCTCCTGGGGAGGAGAGGCTTGCACCCTGCCCCTGCTTCTGCCCACTACTCTGCCTGGTTGTTACGGCCACTTGGCTCAGCCTCCCTTGCAGCTGTTGCCTCATGGGAAACTCAAAGGCTCAGGAGGATCCAGAAACCAAGACTCTTGGGACATGGAATTTGGCAATGCCCTGGTCAAAACATCCAGAGGGAGAAATCTTTACAAAGATCTCCTAAGACTGCAAATGGCAAAATGTTTCCCAGTCTCCAGCATCCCTTTCCCAGCACTCAAGGGAAGACAAGAGGTGTTAGTGAGTATCTGATCCAGGGCTGCATCTCCTGTGAAATCTTGTGATTTATAAGATCCAGCAAGGGCTTTAGTTAGGCTAGGAAGAAATTCTGAAACAGGGGATTCCCTGCTGGAAAGCCTGTATGCCAGCACAATTAGGAAAGACTTCAGGAAGAACAAAGGAAGCCATGGTGCAAAGGTGTGGCCGACCCAAATATTTCAGCTTGAGGAGCCTTGGCTGCTGTTGGGAATGAGAAGCAATGGCATTGGCTGCTCCAAGTCCACATGTAATTGATCTATCTACATATATATTTACATTTTTTGCTTTTTTAAAGAAACTTTTAGGATAATTTTTTTTTTTTTTTTTTTTTTTTTTTTTTTTAGACAGAAACTGGCTCTGTCACCCAAGCTGGAGTGCAGTGGCGTGATCTTGGCTCACTGCAAGCTCCACCTGCCAGGTTCACACCCTTCTCCTGCCTCAGCCTCCCGAGTAACTGGGACTACAGGTACCCCCACCACACCCGGCTAATTTTTTGTATTTTTAGTAGAGACAGGGTTTCACCGTATTAGCCAGGATGGCCTCAATCTCCTGACTTCGTGATCCACTCGCCTCTGCCTCCCAAGGTGCTCGGATTAGAGGCGTGCGCCACCGCGCCCGGCTGAAACAAATTTTAACCTAAAGATACACAGAACTCAGGTACCGTCAGCATGTTCTAATGGCCATCAGCCTATCCCTTCTCCCCTGTAATATTATGCTGAAGCAACATGCAGACATTATATGATTTCGTCTGTAAATATTTTAATACGTATCTCTAAAAAAAAGGGACTCTTTTCAAGAAACATACCCAGAACATTTTTATTGTGTTCTGTTTAATATGAAGCCTCAGGGTGGTTAACATCAGGCCTTGGAGTGATGAACAGTGTTCTCTAAGCTGGTCACTTCCTTTGCAGGATTTACCCTCTGTGCTCAGTGCTGCTCAGTGGGTGGGACAGTTAGTCGAGGCTCAGCACATTAATTTAGCTCCAGTCAGACCCTGCTGTTTATCTCAATCTCTCTCTCACTTTTGAGACAGGGTCTTGCTCTGTCACCCAGACTGGAGTGCAATCGTGTGATTCCTGCTCACTGCAACCTCTGCCTCCCAGGCTCAAGCGATTCTCCCACCTCAGCCTCCCAAGTAGCTGGGACCACAGGTGCATGCCACCACACCCAGCTAATTTTTGTATGTTTTGTAGAGACAGGGTTTCACCATGTTACCTAGGCTGGTGTCTGTGTCTCTCTCTCTCTCTCTAACATTTTATTTTTATTTATTTTTAATTTTTATTTTTTGTAGAGACAAGGTCTTGCCTTGTTGCCGAGGCTGGTCTTGAACTCCTGGCTTCCAGTGATCCTCCCACCTTGACCTCCTAGACTCAAGAGTTTCCAATCAGGAGACACTCATGGAAGAACAGGGTAGGCCTCCTGGGGATGCTCTGGGACTGGAGCCTTGCCTCAGCCTCTTTATTTTAAACCTTGGTCTAAAGTCTTCTGTGACCTCCCGGCTGAGTTCAGATTACACAAGCCCCAAATCCCTTTGTAGCATTTAAAAAACTGTAGTCACAGAATTCTGTGCCTAGCTGTATACCTACCGTCTTGCCCTTGAGAACTAAGTGCCTTGAAGGCAAGGGTCCTGTCTTGCTCAAATCTTATCCCCAATACCTGCCACAGCTTGTAGCACATAGTAGGTGCTCAGATCAGCTTTCTGAAATGAAGCAGAGAAGTCAGGGCACTTGGGTTCATTCACTGGATTTTTTTTGTTTTGTTTTGAGACTGAGTCTCGCTCTGTTGCCCAGGCTGGAGTGCAGTGGCATGATCTCTGCTCACTGCAAGCTCCGCCTCCTGGGTTCACGCCATTCTCCTGCCTCAGCCTCCTGAGTAGCTGGGACTACAGGCACCCGCCACCATGCCTGGCTAATTTTTTTTTTTTTTTTTTTTTGTATTTTTAGTAGAGACGGGTTTTCATCATATTAGCCAGGATGGTCTCCATCTCTTGACTTCGTGATCCACCTGTCTTGGCCTCCCAAAGTGCTGGGATTACAGGCGTGAGCCACTGTGCCTGGCCAATTCACCAGATATTTACTGAGCACCCAACCTGTGCCAGCCACTGTGCTAGAATCAAGGAAGACAGCAGTTGTAGAAAAGGAGAGGAAAATCCTTATCTTCTCAGAGCTTACATTCTGCTGGAAGACAATGGATGGGCAAGGAGATGGATGAATATATGCTATGGGACCAAGCCTTTGCTCCACCCTCACCTTGCTGGATGACCTGGGGTATTTCACTCCACCTCAGTGAGCCACAGTTTTCCATTTCTGTCAAATAAGGAAGTAGGGCAAGATGGTCTCCTTAGAATTCAAAACATTCCCAGAGGGTCTGCAGGGATTTCTCAAACATTGAATTGTCTTCCATCCAATGTCAATGCTTTAAGCATACTGAGGACCCTGTTTGTTCCTTGGACTTAATTAAGCCCAGGGTTGTGTGGGCAGGAAACTCAATGCTCATGTTTTAGGAAAAGCACTGGATCCAATGATTGCCAAGCCCCACCCCAGCTCAGATCAGCTAATCAGGGACCCCATGCTTCTGCATTATCTTTTTTCTGTGTGTAAACAGGCACATCCTAGGTGCTTCAATATTGAGTTCCAGCTGAATCAGCCCTTCCAAGGTCACTGACCAGGGTATAGGGCATCCCTAGCTCTGGGCTGTGAACCCTTGTCTATCCTTGTTACTCTCACCAGAACCTAAGGCTCAATGGAAGATAAATAGCAGGGGTCAGAAATTTGAGGGATTGTATGTGGGGAAACCCAGGGGCTCCAGCATCACTTGGAGGACAAGAAATAAATGGAGATAAGTGGGGGGTCTTTGTCTGGGCTGGTGCAGGAGCACTTCTTGTTTTCACAGACAGCCCTCATTCCTGCACAGCTATGATCCTCATTCCTTAGCTGGGTATCCCAATGTTAGAAAAGATCACCAAAGAGCTGGGTAATGGGGTTCTGGGGTTGGGCTGGACTTGCCTCCAATCTCAGCACTACTGTTTGGAGCAGTGGAACCCTCATCTACTGCTGATGGGCAACCAATTTACATAGACAAGTTTGGCAGTTCCTTGTATAACTTACCCTTATCATGTGACCCAGCAACTCCACTCCTAGGGATCTAACCAAGAGAAATGAAAACATATTCTCACACAAAAACTTATACCCACATTTTCATAACAACATTATTCATAATGGCTCAAGACTGGAAACAACCCAAATGTGCACCAGCTGAAGAATGGATATGTAGACGTTTGTGATCCATCCATGCAACAGAACTTTATTTGTCAATAGACAGGGATGAAGCCACAATGGACATTACAACATGGATGAACCTCAGAAGCATTACACTATGTGAAAGAAGCCAACCACAAAAGGCCACACAGTATATGATTTCACTAAGAGGGAATGTGCAGAAAAAGGCACATCTGTAGAGTCAGAAAGCAGATTGGTGGTTGCCTAGGGCTGGGGGTGGGAATGGAAGATTGCCTGCAAACAGGCAAGAGAAATGTTTTCAGGGTAATAGAAATGTTCTAAAACTGGCTTGTGCTGACGGTTTCCCAAATCTATAGATTTACTGATCTAACTGTATATTTATCGTGAGTAAATTTTATGGTGTGTAAATTATGCCTCAGTAAAGCTGCTGAAATATGCAAAATAAAACCCAAAACTCACCCCTTGATTCTTCCTGCTGTGCAGGCTGGGACAATCAACTCCAGTTCCCTGAGCCTCAGTTTATTTATGTGTAAGATGGGCATGTACTAATGGAACCTCTCAATGAGCATGCCAGGAGGATTCATATAACAGAAAATACATGCAAAGACTTTTGCTGGGAACCCGGCACCTGCACAGGGCCCTCAATTATGTGGGCTGTTGGTGTCATTTCCATGGAACCAAAGAGACTATAGCCACAGAACTCCTCCTTGCTGACAGCTGGTGGGGCTGGTGTTGGCTTGCTTCACTGAGCATTTCCAGTGCTCGGCATTCACTGTGCACTGTAAACATTCTCTGAGCATCATGGACAAGTGAACAAAACAGAGCCCCTCTACAGGTGTCCAGCACCCTTTGGGGAATCAGAGGAGAAAACAGGTGTTTGCAACCCTGTGTGATGGGCACATGTGCTGTAGGAGCCCAGGGAGAAACAAACTGGCTAAAATGGGCACCTGAGGGGCTCCTCAGAGGCAGCTACACTTGTGTCCTTGCAGGAACCCTGCTGAGCCCGATTCTGGAACAGATCAGGACAGGAAGATCTTTCAAAGAGTTTCTGTTTCAATATTCTTTTCATTGCTAGGAAACTGAGGCTGAGAAAGGGGTAGGAACTGGCTCAGGGTCTGTGGTGGGAGTGGGATTTGAATGCTGTCCGACCTTGAAACCTGTGTTAGTATGAATCCTCCCAGAAGCAGACACCAAGTTAGGATGAGATCAGCAGAGATTTATTGGGGATGCACGTGTGCAGGTTAAGAGAGGGGCCAGGAGTGATCAGGGAGAGCCTTCAGACTGCCATGTGAGAGGGGAGAGGGGGAAGGAAGGAAGGTAGGGCAGGAGGAGTCCGAGACACAGCACAGCTCTAGGAACGTTTGGCCGGATCAGTTGGGAGTCTCTGGTGGACTATTGACTGTTAGAGGATTCCCTTGTCCTGCAGGAACAGGTGGCACTAGTACCCTGGCATGCTCGGTTCTGGCTGGGAGCAGCCTATAGGAAGTGTGGCCTCAGTGCCCAGGCTGGAGTGCAGTGGTGCAATCATGGCTTACCACAGCCTTGACCTCTTGGGCTGAATTTGTTCTTCCACCTCAGCATCCTGGGTAGCTGGGACCACAGGCATGTGTAACCATGCCCAGCTAATCTTTTAATTTCTTGTTGAATGTCTTGTTGTGTTACCAAGGCTGGACTCAAACTCCTGGGCTCAAGCAATCCACCCACCTCGGCATCCCAAAGTTCTGGGATTACAGATGTGAGACCCCGGGCCCGACCAGTTGGTTGTATTTCTATTGGATAGTGCTGGTCTAACACAGGTTTTCTCAGCCGCAGCACTGTTGACATTTGGGGCTGAATCATTCTTTGTGTTGAGGGTGGTCTTGTGTATTCTACAGTGTTCAGGAGCCTCCCTGGCCTCCAGCTACTAGATGTAAGTAGCACCTAGTTAATCCTCAAGGCATGGCAACCCGAAGTTTCTCCAGACATCGACAGAATCACCCCACTTGAGAACAGAGCAAATGTTGTGTAGTCACAAGAGCCTATGGCTTACCACATGCCAAGCACTGGTATTAAGGACAGGGTGTTAGGGATACAAACAGGGAACAAAAAGTCCTGCCTATGTGGCACTTACTTTAGTGGGAAGTAGAGACAATGAATAAGTAAATATACATTGCCCCTGGCAACACGTGCCGTGGTAAACAGTGAAACAGGAAAGGGGACCAGGAGCACAGGGTGGTATGTGCTAGCAGGCTTCCTGTTGTGTGTATTTCATCAGCGAGGCCTCACAGAGAAATCGAAGAGTGAGGAAACAAGCTGGATTCTGAGAACAGTGTTCGAAAAAGTGGCAGGAGCCAGTGCAAAGACCCAGAGGTGCACATCACTGAAAACAAGGAAGGAGATCTCTATGTAGTGACATGAAAAGACTATTAATCAGTGAAAAATTTGTAAATGGGGGCCTTGAACTTAAACTAGGACAAATGATACACGTGTTTCTGGTGAGGTGGTTAAACCTTTTTAAAAATAGCTTTACTGAGGGCCAGGTGAAGTGGCTCACATCTGTAATCCCAGCACTTTGGGAAGCTGAAGTAGTCAAATCACCTGAGCTCAGGAGTTAGAGACTAGCCTGGCCAACATGGCAAAACCTGGTCTCTACCAAAAAATACAAAAAATTTTTGGGCATGGTAATGCATGCCTGTAATCCCAGCTACTCGGGAGGCTGAGGCAGGAGAATCGCTTGAGTCAAGAAGGCAGAGGTTGCAGTGAGCCAACATCACGCCACTACACTCCAACCTGGGTGACAGAGCAAGACTCCATCTCAAAAAAAGAAGAAAAAAAG